>NC_000014.9:76732925-76884440 GCF_000001405.40 Homo sapiens
AACATAACACTGGCTAGGTTTACTATTATATATTCATTATTATTACATGCACTTTTTTCTTCTCAAGAGAAATTAAAATTAAAACATTTGTGGGCCCTGGGTGCTTCCTGTGCCTAATGGGTAGGTCAGCCCTGATATCTGAGTGCTAAGATTGCCTGCTTTTTATGTCCTTCTATTTGCCTATCTGCATTTTCTAAATTTTCAATACCTAAGATTTATTCTTTTGCTACAAATGAAAAGCTATTTCAACAAAGAAATTTGTAAGCATAAATAAATGCTCCATTTTATGCAAACGCCAACACACAAAATTGAGAGCAAATGCAGCATCTAGGGTCAATGGCCTCTGGCGACTTTAAACATCCCATTGGACACAGTGCGGCATCCATGGCACTGCTGGCTAGACTATCAGATGACTTCCTGCTATAAACAACCAACAAGACAAAATCACTGGTTTACAGAACAAAGTAGCTCTCTGGCTTTACTAGAAAGAATGGGTCCATGCCCTGTCCTTCACATACAAAAATGATACCACCAACCCCCACTGGTGGATGTACAGTGGAAACTCAAATGCTTTCCACTCTCTCTGCCCAGTAGGGCTCAGCCTTCAGAGCCATGCAAATGAGTAAAATGTAAAAGAATTTCACACTGTCCTAGTACTATAGATTTATAATAAGTCTATTCATCTGGTATACATTTTCCAACTTTCTTTTTCTTCTTCAAGGTTGTCTTTACTCTTCTCGGCTCTTTGTATTTCCATATGAGTTTCAGAAATTAGCTTGTCAATTTCAAAAATTTTAATAAAATCTGCTAGTACTTCGAAAAAGGTTGTATTGAATCTAAAGATTAATTTGGAGAGAACTGACATCTTTGTAGTTTTTTTGTTTTTTTTTTTGAGATGGAGTCTTGCTCTGTTGACTAGGCTAGAGTGCAGTGGCGCAATCTCAGCTCATCGCAACCTCTGCCTCCCAGGTTCAAGCGATTCTCTCGCCTCAGCCTCCCAAGCAGCTGGGATTACAGGCATGCGTCACCACACCCGGCTAATTTTTGTATTTTTTTTTCTTTCGTTTTTTTTTTTTTTTTTTTTTTTTTTTTTTATTGATCATTCTTGGGTGTTTCTCCCAGAGGGGGATTTGGCAGGGTCATAGGACAATAGTGGAGGGAAGGTCAGCAGATAAACAAGTGAACAAAGGTCTCTGGTTTTCCTAGGCAGAGTGTGTGTGTCCCTGGGTACTTGAGATTAGGGAGTGGTGATGACTCTTAAGGAGCATGCTGCCTTCAAGCATCTGTTTAACAAAGCACATCTTGCACCGCCCTTAATCCATTTAACCCTGAGTGGACACAGCACATGTTTCAGAGAGCACAGGGTTGGGGGTAAGGTCATAGATCAACAGGATCCCAAGGCAGAAGAATTTTTCTTCGTACAGAACAAAATGAAAAGTCTCCCATGTCTACTTCTTTCTACACAGACACAGCAACCATCCGATTTCTCAGTCTTTTCCCCAGCTTTCCCCCTTTTCTATTCCACAAAACCGCCATTGTCATCATGGCCCGTTCTCAATGAGCTGTTGGGTACACCTCCCAGACGAGATGGTGGCCGGGCAGAGGGGCTCCTCACTTCCCAGTAGGGGCGGCCGGGCAGAGGCGCCCCTCACCTCCTGGACGGGGCGGCTGGCTGGGTGGGGGGCTGACCCCCACCTCCCTCCCGGACGGGGCGGCTGGCCTGGCGGGGGCTGACCCCCACCTCCCTTCCGGACGGGGTGGCTGCCGGGCGGAGACGCTCCTCCCTTCCCAGATGGGGTGGCAGCCAGGCGGAGAGGCTCCTCACTTCTCAGATGGGGCGGTTGCCAGGCGCAGGGTCTCCTCACTTCTCAGACGGGGTGGCCGGGCAGAGACGCTCCTCACCTCCCAGACGGGGTCACGGCCGGGCCGAGGCGCTCCCCACATCTCAGACGATGGGCGGCCGGGCAGACACGCTCCTCACTTCCTAGATGTGATGGCGGCCGGGAAGAGGCGCTCCTCACTTCCTAGGTGGGATGGCGGCCGGGCAGAGACGCTCCTCACTTTCCAGACTGGGCAGCCAGGCAGAGGGGCTCCTCACATCCCAGACGATGGGCGGCCAGGCAGAGACGCTCCTCACTTCCCAGACGGGGTAGCGGCCGGGCAGAGGCTGCAATCTCGGCACTTTCGGGGGCCAAGGCAGGCGGCTGGGAGGTGGAGGTTGTAGCCGAGATCACGCCACTGCACTCCAGCCTGGGCACCATTGAACACTGAGTTAACAAGACTCCATCTGCAATCCCGGCACCTCGGGAGGCCGAAGCTGGCGGATCACTCGCGGTTAGGAGCTGGAGACCAGCCCGGCCAACACAGCGAAACCCCGTCTCCACCAAAAAAATACGAAAACCAGTCAGGCGTGGCGGCGCGCGCCTGCAATCACAGGCACTCGGCAGGCTGAGGCAGGAGAATCAGGCAGGGAGGTTGCAGTGAGCCGAGATGGCAGCAGCACAGTCCAGCTTTGGCTCGGCATGAGAGGGAGACCGTGGAAAGAGAGGGAGAGGGAGAGGGAGGAGAGGGAGAGGGAGAGGGAGAGGGCTAATTTTTGTATTTTTAGTAGAGACAGGGTTTCGCCATGTTGGTCAGGCTGGTCTTGAACTCCTGACCTCAGGTGATCCACCCACCTCGGCCTCCCAAAGTGCTGGGATTACAGGCATGAGCCACTGCACCCAGACTTCTTTGCAGTCTTAAGTCTTCCAATCCATGAACATGGTCTAGCCCTCAATTTATTTAGATTTTAATTTATTTCAATAATTATAGGCCATTTTTAATGAAGAGGACTTGTACACGTTTTATTAGATTTATTCCTATATATATGGTGTTTTTAGGCTATTGTAATTAGCAAACATTAAAGATATTAATTGAATGAGATAATGTCTAAGGAAAATACTTTGCAAAATGCAAAACTTTTTACAAATTTGAGGTATTCTTTCACACCAACAGCACTGAACACATCATTTTGGAAATCTATACACTCTTTTTTAAAAATTTTGTATTGATACATAATTTTTATACATATTTATGGGGTACATGTGATATTCAGTTACGTGCATAGACTGTGTAATCATCAAATTAGAGTTATCTGAGGTGTCCATCACCTCAAGTATTTACCATTTCTATGTGTTGGAAACATTTCAAGTCTTCTCTTCTAGCCATTTTGAAATATACAATACAGTGTTGTTAACTACAGCCACCCTATTCTACTATTGAATATTAGAACTTATTTCTTCTACTTAACTGTGTGTTTGTACCCATTAACCAACTTCTCTTTATCTCCCTGCACCACCTCCCACCACATACACCCCTCCTAGACGCTGGGATCTATCATTTTTCTCTCTACCTCTATGAGATTAACTTTTTTTTTAGTCCTACACGTGAGTGACAACATGCAGTATTTGTCTTTCTGTGCCTGGCTTATTTCACTTAATATAATGATCTCCAGCTCCATCCATGTTGCTGCAATGACATGATTTCATTCTTCTTATGGCTAAATAGTATATACACACACACACACACACACACACACACACAACATTTTCTTTATCCAATTGTCCAGTGATAGACACAGGTTGATTCCATATCTCTGCTATTGTGAACAGTGCTGAAATAAACATGGGAATGTGGGCATCCCTCTGATACACTGATTTCTTTTCCTTTGGATAGATACCCAGTAGTGAGACTGCTGGATTGTGTGGTAGTTCTATTTTTAGTTTTTTGAGTCATGTCCATACTCTTTTCCATAGTGGCTGTACTAATTTACATTCCCACCAACAGTGTATGACAGTTCCCTTTTCTCTGCATTCTCATCAGCATGTTATTTTTTGTCTTTTTTATAACTTAAGGCATTCTAACTGGGGTAAAATGATATCTCACTGTGTGCATATCTCACTGATGTGCATTTCTCTGATGGTTGGTGATGTTGAGCATTTTTTCTTATACTTGATGGCCATTTTTGTGTTTTCTTTTGAAAAATGTCTATTTATGTCCTTTACCCACTTTTTTTAGTAGGGAGATTTTTTTTTTTTTACTGTTGAGTTTTGTTGAGTTTCTTGTATATTCTAGATATTATTTCCTTGTTAAATGAATACTTTCCAAATATTTTCTCCCATTCGGCAGGTTGCCTCTTCACTCTGTTGATTATTTCCTTTGCTGTGCAGAAGATTGTTAGTTTAAAACAGTCCCATTTGTCTGTTTTTTGATTTGTTGTCTGTGCTTTGGAGGCCTTAGCCATAAAATCTTTGCCTAGACTAATGTCCTGAAGTGTTTCCCCTGTATTTTCTTTTAGTGGTTTTAGAGTTCTGGGTCTACAATTTAAATCTTTATCTTGAGTTAGTTTTTGTATATGGTAATAGTTAGGGATCCAGTTTTATTTTTTTGCATATGAATATACAATTTTCCCAGGACCATTTATTGAAAAGGGTGTCCTTTACCCAATGTATGTTCTTGGCACTTTTGCTGAAAATCAGTTGGCTGTAAATATGTGAATTTATTTCTGGGTTCTCTATTCTGTTTCCTCAGTCTATGTGTCTGTTTTTATACCAGTACCATGCTGTTTTGGTTACTATAGACTTGTAATATATTTTCAGGTCAGATAATGTAATACCTCCAGCTTTGTACTTTTTGCTCAGAATCACCTTGGCTATTTTAGCTCTTTTTCGATTCCATACAAATTGTATTTGCTTTTTCTATTTCTGTGAACAATAACGTTGGTATTTTGATAGGGATTGCTTTGAATCTGTAGATTGCTTTGGGCAGTATGATCATTTTAACAATATTTATTCTTCTGATCCATGAGCATGGGATGTCTTTCCATTTGTTTGTGTCCTCATCTATTTCTTTCATCAATGTTTTATGGATTTTCTTAGAGAGGTCTTTCCCTTCCTTGGTTAAATTTATTCCTAGGTATTTTACTTTTTTGTAGCTATTATAAATGGTATTGCCTTCTTGATTTCTTTCTCAGCTGGTTCATTATTGGTATATAAGAATGCTACTGATTTTTGTATGTCAATATTGTATCTTGCGACTTTCCTGAATTTATTTATCAGCTCTAAGAGTTTTTTAGTGGAGTCTTTAGGTTTTTCTAGAATAAGATTATATCTGCAAAGAGGGACAATTTGACTTCCTATTTTCCAATTTGGAAACTTTTATTTCTTTCTCTTGCCTGACTGATCTGACTAGGACTTCCAGTACTATGTTGAATAAGAGTGGCGAAAATGGGCATCCTTGTCTTGTTCCAGTTCTTAGAGGAAAGGCTTTCAGCTTTTCTAGATTCAGTATGATGTTAGCTATGGGTTTGTCATATATGGCCTTTATTATATTGAGGTATGTTTCTTCTATGCCTAATTTGTTGAGAGTTTTTACCATAAAGGGATACTGAATTTTATCAAATGCTTTTTCTGCATCTATTGAGATGCTTATATGGTTTTTGTCCTTCATTTTGTTGATATGATGTATCATGTTTATTGATTTGGGTATGCTGAACCATCCTTGCCTCCTTAGGATAAATCCCATTTGGTCATAGCGTATTATCTTTTTGATACGCTGTTAGATTCGATTTGCTGGTATTTTGTTGAGTATTTTTACATCTACATTCATTAGGGACATTCGTCTATAGCTTTCTTTTTTTGTTGTGCCTTTATCTGGTATTGATATCAGGTTAACACTGGCCTCATAGAATGAGTTAAGGAGAATTTCCTCTTCTTCAATTTTTTGGAATATTTGAAGAGAGTTACCATTAGTTCTTCTTTGAAAGTTTGGTAGAATTTGACAGTGAAGCCATCCAGTTCTGGACAGGAGATTTCTATTACTGATTCAATTTCATTACTCGTTATTGGTCTGCTCAGGTTTTCTATATCTTCCTTATTCAATCTTAGTATGTTGTGTGTATATAGGAATTTATCCATTTCCTCTAGGTTTTTCAGTTTTTAGTTTACAGTTGTTCATAATAGTCTCTCATAAGTTTTTGTGTCCCTGTTGTATCAGTTGTAATGTTTCCTTTTTCATTTCTGACTTTATTTGGGCCTTCTCTCTTCTTTTCTTGGTTAGCCTAGCTAGCAGTTTATGATTTTTGTTTGTCTTTTTGAAGAACCAAATTTCATTTCATTGATCTTTTGTATTGGTTTTTGGTCTCTATTTCATTTAGTTCTGCTCTGATCTTCATTATTTATTTTCTTATACTAATTTGGGGTCTGTGTTTTTCTTGATTTTCTAGTTCTTTGAGGTGCATTGTTACATTGTTAATTTTCAATCTCTCTACTTTTTTGATTTAGGCATTTATTGCTATAAACTTCCCTCTTTGCCTGCTTTTACTACATTTCGTAGGTTTTTGTGTGTTATGTTTTGATTTTCATTTGTTTCAAGATTTTAAAAAATTTCCTCAATTTCTTCCTTGACTCAGTGGCCATTCAAGAGCATGTTGTTTAATTTCCATGTGCTTGTACAGTTTCCAAAGTTCCTCTTGTTATTGATTTGTAGTTGTATTCCACTGTGGTCTGAGAAGATACTTTGTATTAACTTTGATTTCTAAAAATTTGCTGAGACTTGTTTTCTGTCCTAACATATGTCTATCCTAGAGAATGTTCCCTATGTTGATGAGAAGAATGTATTCTATAGCTGTTGGATGAAATGTTCTGTGTTGGTTAGGCTTATGTGGTCTAAAGTGCAATTTAAATTCAACAATTTCTTTGTTAATTTTCTGTCCTAGATGATCCATCTAATGCTGAGAATGAGGTACTGAAGTCTCCAACTATCATTGTAGTAGAGTCTATCACTCCATTTAGATTTAGTAATATTTGCTTTATATATCTGGGTGCTCTGGTGTTGGGTGCATATATTTTAAGAATTGTTGTAACCTGCCGCTGAATTGATACATTTATCATCCAACAATGGTCTTGTCTCTTTTTACTGTTTTTCACTTAAATATATTTTATCTCATAGAAGTATAACTACTCCTGCTCACTTTTGGTTTCCATTTCCATGGAATATCTTTCTCCATTCCTTTACTTTCAATTTATATGTGTATTTGCAGGTGAGATGTGTTTCTTGTAAGCAGCATATAGTTGGGTCATGTTTTTTATCCATTTGGCCAGTTTATATCTTTTAAGTAGAAAGTTTGATCCATTTACTTTCAAGATTATTATTGATATGTGAGGGCTCATTCTTGTCACTTATTTTTTTAATTTTTTTTTTTTTGAAACGGAGTCTCGCTCTGTCACTGAGGCTGGAGTGCAGTGGTGCCATCTTGGCTCACTGCAACCTCTGCCTCCCAGGTTGAAGCGATTCTCCTGCCTCAGCCTCCCGAGTAGCTGGGACTACAGGCATGCACCACCACATCCAGCTAATTTTTGTATTTTTAGTAGAGATGGAGTTTCATCATATTGGTCAGGCTGGTCTTGAACTCCTGACTTCGTGATCTGCCTGCCTTGGCCTCCCAAAGTGCTGGGATTAGAGGTGTGAGCCACCATGCCCAGCCCTTGTCACTTACTAATTGATTTCTGGTAGTGTTGTATATCCTTTGTGCCTTTCTTTCTCTCTCATTTATTATTGTGGTTTGGTGGTTTGCTGTAGTAGTAATATTTTAGTTATTTTTCTCCTTTATTGGTATGTTTGATCTACCAGTAGGTTTTATACTTTCACGTGTCTTATTCATGATGATACCTATCATTTCACTTCCAGGTGTAGGACTCCGTCAAGCATTTCATTTCTTGTAGGGTCAATCTAGTGATGATTAATTCCCTCAGCTTTTGCTTGTCTGGGAAAGACTTTATTTCTGCTTGATTTATGAAGGATAACTTTGCTGGGTATAGTATCATACATTTGAATTTTTTTTTCTTTTATGAACTTTGGATGTATTATCCTATTCTCTCTTGGCCTATAAGGTTTCTGCTAAGAAATTTGTTGTTAGTCTGATGAGGGTTCTCTTATAAGTGACTAGAAGCTTTCCTCTTGCTGGTTTTAAAACTCTCTCCTTGTCTTTGAGTTTTGACAGTTTGATTGTAATGTGCCACAGAGAAGAACTTGTTGCATTTTATCTCCTTGGGGACCTCTGAGCTTCCTGTATCTGGATATCTAAATCTCTTGCTATACTTGAGAAGTTTTCAGGTATTATTTTTGTTAAATAGGTTTTCTATCCCTTTCATTTTCTCTTTACCTACTGGGACACTGAAAATTTAAATATTTGATCACTTTATGGTGTCCCATATGTCATGCATGCTTTGTTCATTCTTTTTTATTCTTTTTTTTAAAATTTTTGTCTGGGTTATTACAAAAGACCTATCTTCAGGTTCTGAAATTCTTTCTTCTGCTTAATCTAATGGATTGTTCAAGGTTTCTAATGTATTTTGTATTTTATTTAATGAATTCCTTAGTTCCAGAATTTCTGTTTGGTTATTTTTTTGATGTCTCCTTGGTAAATTTCTCATTCATATCCTGAACTGTTTTTCTGATTTCTTTGTACTGTTTTTCAGAATTATCTTGTATTTCACTCGGCTTCTTTAATATCATTAGTTTGAATTCTTTTTCCAGGATTCCATAAGTTTTTTTTTTTTTTTCTTCTTTGAGACAGAGGGCTTGCTCTACTTCCCAGGCTGAAGTGCAGTGGCATGATCTTGGCTAACAGAAACCTCTGCCTCCCAGTCTCAAGCAATACTCCTGTCTCAGCCTTTCAAGTAACTGGAACCACAGGTGTGCACCACCACATGCTGCTAATTTTTTGTAGAGACAAGGCTTCACCATGTTGCCCAGGCTAGTCTTGAACTCTTGAGCTCAAGCAATCTGCCTGCCTCAGCCTCCCAAAGTGCTGGAATTTTAGGCATGAGCCACAGCCCCTGGCCTAGGATTTCATAAATTTCTTTTTGATTGGAATTTGTTACTGGAGAACTATCATATTTCTTTAAAGGTGTCATATTTCCTTACTTTTTTTATGTATCTCAGGTCCTTAAGTTGATATCTGCCTATCTGGTATAACAGTCACTTTTTCAAATTTTTTGAATTTGTTTTGGTAGGGAAGATCTTTTTCCTGAAGATGTGTTCCTTGGGTAGGACATTTTGGCTTTGATTCTGGATACATGCAGTAGTATATTCTCCATGATTTATTTTTCTTTTGGCTATTAACAGCATCAGTGGTGTCTATGATTTCCTCAGTCACTTATGGTTCAGTTGTTAGTGGAGGCTATGGTAAAGTTTCCTGGAAATGGAGTCCCCAGGTGGGCCTCTCCATGGGCCAAGCATGCCTATCCTTAGACGTATGCTGCCACTACTATAAATGGGTCCAGGTAGGCCAATTCTTGGGCCTCCAGGTGATTTGCTCAGATGCCAGTAGCAGCAGCAGTGGGCCAGGTGGGTCAGCGGGCTCTTTTACCTGGTCATTGGGCATGATGTGGATGATGGCGGTAGCAGTGACAGGACAAACCTCTGGCCCCCAAGCAGTATGTGCTGGTGTTGGCAGTGGCTGCGATGGCTAGGCCAGTCCTTAGGCCTGCAGCAGTCTACACACTCTTGTGGGGCATCCAGAGGTTGCAATAAGCCAAGATCGCACCACTGCACTCCAGCCTGGGCAACAAAGCGAGACTCCATCTCAAAAAAAAAAAAGAGTTCTCCATCTGAGTTTTATCCAACAGCCACTAGATGACCTCGAGGAAAAAAAAAAAAAACACAGGATTCAATCAAAACACATGGACTTGATACAAAGACTTACTCAATCTATGAACTTCTGTCTTTATTTTTGTTTTTGTTTTGAGATAGAGTTTCACTCTTGTTGCCCAGGCTGGAGTGAATGGCACCATCTCGGCTCACTGCAACCTCCGCCTCCCGGGTTCAAGCGATTCTCCTGCCTCAGCCTCCCAAGTAGCTGGGATTACAAGCATGCGCCACCATACCTGGCTAATTTTTGTATTTTTAGTAGGAGACAGGGTTTCACCACGTTGGCCAGGCTGGTCTCAAACTCCTGACCTCAGGTAATCTGCCTGCCTTGGCCTCCCGTAGTGCTGGGATTACAGGCGTGAGCCACTACGCCCAGCCTGAAACTGCCACTTGAAAATTCTCCCATATCTTGACCAGCCCTCAGTGTGGGCTAAGACGCTGCTAAGCTTCTCTGCCTCCCTCCTATCTTCACAGGAATCCCCAGCTGCAGAACAGATGAAGGCGACACCTGGCTTCTTCCTGGGAATGGTTGCTGGCAATGGGACACTCTCACTTTCAGCTGCCTCTGAGTTTGAATGGTGACTCATACCCCCTGTCTGAGCCCAGCTTCACTTTCACCCTCCTCCACCTGCCAAGCCCTACCTGTCCGAGACACCACGGAGTTCTCATTTCCTTCCTCTTTCCACCAGTCTGAAGAAGAAAATGGCCAAGAATGAAGTCCTCAGGACATTAAGATGACGTAGAAAACACAAAAAGGAGAAAGACTTTGCTGTTATTTACCCCACATCATTCCATTAAAGTTTCTTGGATCTCTTCTTCATCCATGTAGCAATAACCCTGGGGGTGGGAACCAGCAATCCAAGTCCTCCAAATGATTTGGCGGTTCTTCAAGGATTATCTGACTCCATAAGGGTGGACATTTATGGTTGTCTTTCTATTGACTAGGCTATTTTATAACCCTATAAAGACGGAAGTTTAGTTACAGAAAAACTGACAATTATACAAATTATTCTTATCCATAGATATACAAATGAATTTTGTCTAGTAGAGATACATAGAGTTTTAGAAAAGATAACCCCACTCCAATTTATAGTATATGAACCAGTTTTTTGTCCATTGGCAAATTCAGCATTACTGGTTATATGTGTCTCTTTAAATTTACTCTTAACTGGATTTAACCATTTTCTGGCTCCCTCATTAATTAAGGAGCTAAATAAATAAAATCTACAACACAAGTTCATTTTATACTTGTATGACAGCCATAATTTTACTTCTTTGAAAATTATACTTTCACATAGCAATTCTCAGAGTGAAGTCCCAGACAGGCCACAGCATCACCTGGGAGCTTGTTAGAAACACAAGTTCTCGGCCACGTGCAGTGCCTCATGCCTGTAATCCCAGCACTTTGGGAGGCTGAGGTGGGTGAATCACGAGGTCAGGAGTTCGAGACCAGCCTGACCAACATGGTGAAACCCCATCTCTACTAAAAATACAAAAATTAGCTGGGTGTTGTGGCGGGAGCCTGTAATCCCAGCTACTCGGGAGGCTGAGGCAAGAGAATCACTTGAATCCGGGAGTTGGAAGCTGCAGTGAGCTGAGATTGTGCCACTGTACTCCAGCCTGGGCAACAGAGTGAGACTTCGTCTCAAAAAAAAAAAAAAGGTTGAGACTCGCCAAGATGGCCGAATAGGAACAGCTCCAGTCTACAGCTCTCAGCGTGAGTGACACAGAAGATGGATGATTTCTGCATTTCCAACTGAGGTACTAGGTTCATCTCACTGGGGATTGTTGGAAAGTGGGTGTAGGACAGTGGGTGCAGCGCACCGAGCATGAGCCGAAGCAGGGCGAGGCATCGCCTCACCCAGGAAGCACAAGGGGTCAGGGAATTCCCTTTCCTAGCCAAGGAAAGGGGTGACAGACAGCACCTGGAAAATTGGGTCACTCCCACCCTAATACTGCGCTTTTCCGATGGTCTTAGCAAACGGCACACCAGGAGATTATATGCTGTGCATGGCTCGGAGGGTCCCATGCCCACGGAGCCTCACTCATTGCTAGCACAGCAGTCTGAGATCAAACCACAAGGCGGCAGCAAGTCTTGGGGAGGGGCGCCCGCCATTGCTGAGGCTTGAGCAGGTAAACAAAGCAGCCCGGAAGCTCGAACTGGGTGGAGCCCACTGCAGCTCAAAGAGGCCTGCCTGCCTCTGTAGACTCCACCTCTGGGGGCAGGGCACAGCCAAACAAAAGGCAGCAGAAACCTCTGCAGACTTAAATGTCCCTGTCTGACAGCTTTGAAGAGAGTAGTGGTTCTCCCAGCACGCAGCTTGAGATCTGAGAACGGACAGACTGCCTCCTCAAGTGGGTCCCTGACCCCCGAGTAGCCTAACTGGGAGGCACCCCCCAGTAGGGGCAGACTGACACCTCACACGGCTGGGTACCCTCTGAGACAAAACTTCCAGAGGAACGATCAGGCAGCAACATTTGCTGTTCACCAGTATTCGCTGTTCTGCAGCCTCCGCTGCTGATACCCAGGCAAACAGGGTCTGGAGTGGACCTCTAGCAAACTCCAACAGACCTGCAGCTACATGTCCTGACTGTTAGAAGGAAAACTAACAAACAGAAAGGACATCCACACCAAAAACCCATCTGTATGTCACCATCATCAAAGACCAAAGGTAGATAAAACCACAAAGATGGGGAAAAAACAGAGCAGAAAAACTGAAAATTCTAAAAATCAGAGCGCCTCTCCTCCTCCAAAGGAACGCAGCTCCTCACCAGCAACGGAAAAAAGCTGGACGGAGAATGACTTTGACGAGTTGAGAGAAGAAGGCTTCAGATGATCAAACTTCTCTGAGCTAAAGGAGGAAGTTCGAACCCATGGCAAAGAAGTTAAAAACCTTGAGAGAAGATTAGATGAATGGCTAACTAGAATAATCAATGCAGAGAAGTCCTTAAAGGACCTGAAAACCATGGATGGAGCTGAAAACCATGGCACGAGAACTACGTGACAAATGCACAAGCTTCAGTAGCCTATTCAATCAACTGGAAGAAAGGGTATCAGTGATGGAAGATCAAATGAATGAAATGAAGTGAGAAGAGAAGTTTAGAGAAAAAAGAATAAAAAGAAATGAACAAAGCCTCCAAGAAATATGGAAGTATGTGAAAAGACCAAATCTACGTCTGATTGGTGTACCTGAAAGTGACGGGGAGAATGGAACCAAGTTGGAAAACACTCTGCAGGATATTATCCAGGAGAACTTCCCCAACCTAGGAAGGCAGGCCAATATTCAAATTCAGGAAATACAGAGAATGCCACAAAGATACTCCTCGAGAAGAGCAACTCCAAGACACATAATTGTCAGATTCACCAAACTTGAAATGAAGGAAAAATTGTTAAGGGCAGCCAGAGAGAAAGGTCGGGTTACCCATAAAGGGAAGCCCATCAGACTAATAGCTGATCTCTCGGCAGAAACTCTACAAGCCAGAAGAGAGTGGGGGCCAATATTCAACATTCTTAAAGAAAAGAATTTTTCAACCCAGAATTTCATATCCAGCCAAACTAAGCTTCATAAGTGAAGGAGAAATAAAATACTTTATAGACAAGCAAATGCTGAGAGATTTTGTCACCACCAGGCCTGCCCTACAAGAGCTCCTGAAGGAAGCACTAAACATGGAAAGGAACAACTGGTACCAGCCACTGCAAAAACATGCCAAATTGTAAAGACCATTGAGGCTAGGAAGAAACTGCATCAACTAACGAGCAAAATAACCAGCTAACATCATAATGACAGGATCAAAATCACACATAACAATATTAACCTTAAATGTAAATGGGCTAAATGCTCCAATTAAAAGACACAGACTGGCAAACTGGATAAAGAGTCAAGACCCATCAGTGTGCTGTATTCAGGAAACCCATCTCACATGCAGAGACACACATAGGCTCAAAATAAAGGGAGGGAGGAAGATCTACCAAGCAACTGGAAAACAAAAAAAGGCAGGGGTTCCAACCTTAGTCTCTGATAAAACAGACTTTAAACCAACAAGGATCAAAAGAGACAAAGAAGGCCATTACATAATGGTAAAGGAATCAATTCAACAAGAAGAGCCAACTATCCTAAATATATATGCACCCAATACAGGAGCACCCAGATTCATAAAGCAAGTCCTCAGAGACCTACAAAGAGACTTAGACTCCCACACAATAATAATGGGAGACTTTAACACCCCACTGTCAACATTAGACAGGTCAACGAGACAGAAAGTTAACAAGGATATCCAGGAATTGAACTCAGCTCTGCACCAAGCAGACCTAATAGACATCTACAGAACTCTCCACCCCAAATCAACAGAATATACATTCTTCTCAGCACCACACCACACCTATTCCAAAATTGACCACATAGTTGGAAGTAAAGCACTCCTCAGCAAATGTAAAAGAACAGAAATTATAACAAACTGTCTCTCAGACCACAGTGCAATCAAACTAGAACTCAGGATTAAGAAAGTCACTCAAAACTGCTCAACTACATGGAAACTGAACAACCTGCTCCTGAATGACTACTGGATACATAACAAAAAGAAGGCAGAAATAAAGATGTTCTTTGAAACCAACGAGAACAAAGACACAACATACCAGAATCTCTGGGATACATTTAAAGCAGTGTGTAGAGGGAAATTTATAGCACTAAATGCCCACAAGAGAAAGCCAGAAAGATCTAAAATTGACACCCTAACATCACAATTAAAAGAACTAGAGAAGCAAGAACAAACACATTCAAAAGCTAGCAGAAGGCGAGAAATAACTAACATCAGAGCAGAACTGAAGGAGATAGAGACACAAAAAACCCTTCAAAAAATCAGTAAATCCAGGAGCTGGTTTTTGGAAAAGATCAACAAAATTGATAGACCGCTAGCAAGACTAATAAAGAAGAAAAGAGAAGAATCAAATAGACACAATAAAAAATGATAAAGGGGATATCACCACTGATCCCACAGAAATACAAACTACCTTCAGAGAATACTATAAACACCTCTATGCAAATAAACTGGAAAATCTAGAAGAAATGGATAAATTCCTCGACACATACACTCTCCCGAGACTAAACCAGGAAGAAGTTGAATCTCTGAATAGAACAATAACAGGCTCTGAAATTGAGGCAATAATTAATAGCTTACCAACCAAAAAAAGTCCAGGACCAGACGGACTCACAGCCGAATTCTACCAGAGGTACAGGGAGGAGCTGGTACCATTCGTTCTGAAACTATTCCAATCAATAGAAAAAGAGGGAATCCTCCCTAACTCATTTTATGAGGCCAGCATCATCCTGATACCAAAGCCTGGCAGAGACACAACAAAAAAAGAGAATTTTAAACCAATATCCCTGATGAACACTGATGCAAAAATCCTCAATAAAATACTGGCAAACTGAATCCAGCAACACATCAAAAAGCTTATGCACCATGATCAAGTGGGCTTCATCCCTGGGATGCAAGGCTGGTTCAACATACGCAAATCAATAAACATAATCCAGCATATAAACAGAACCAAAGACAAAAACCACACGATTATCTCAATAGATGCAGAAAAGGCCTTTGACAAAATTCAACAGCCCTTCATGCTAAAAACTCTCAATAAATTAGGTATTGATGGGACGTATCTCAAAATGATAAGAGCTATTTATGACAAACCCACAGCCAATATCATACTGAATGGGTAAAAGCTGGAAGCATTCCCTTTGAAAACTGGGCACAAGACAGGGATGCCCTCTCTCACCACTCCTATTCAACACAGTGTTGGAAGTTCTGGCCAGGGCAATCAGGCAAGAGAAGGAAATAAAGGGTATTCAATTAGGAAAAGAGGAAGTCAAATTGTCCCTGTTCGCAGATGACATGTTTGTATATCTAGAAAACCCCATCGTCTCAGCCCCAAATCTCCTTAAGCTGATAAGCAACTTCAGCAAAGTCTCAGGATACAAAATCAATGTGCAAAAATCACAAGCATTCTTATACACCAATAACAGACAAACAGCCAAATCATGAGTGAACTCCCATTCACAATTGCTTCAAAGAGAATAAAATACCTAGGAATCCAACTTACAAGGGATGTGAAGGACCTCTTCAAGGAGAGCTACAAACCACTGCTCAACGTAATAAAAGAGGATACAAACAAATGGAAAAACATTCCATGCTCCTGGGTAGGAAGAATCAATATCATGAAAATGGCCATACTGCCCAAGGTAATTTATAGATTCAATGCCATCCCCATCAAGCTACCAGTGACTTTCTTCACAGAATTGGAAAAAACTACTTTAAAGTTCATGTGGAACCAAAAAAGAGCCTGCATTGCCAAGTCAATCCTAAGCCGAAAGAACAAAGCTGGAGGCATCACACTACCTGACTTCAAACTATACTACAAGGCTACAGTAACCAAAACAGCATGGTACTGGTACCAAAACAGAGATATAGACCAATGGAACAGAACAGAGCCCTAGAAATAATGCCGCATATCTACAACTATCTGATCTTTGACAAACCTGACAAAAACAAGAAATGGGGAAAGGATTCCCTATTTAATAAATGGTGCTGGGAAAACTGGCTAGCCATATGCAGAAAGCTGAAACTGGATCCCTTCCCTACACCTTATACAAAAATTAATTCAAGATGGATTAAAGACTTAAATGTTAGACCTAAAAACCATAAAAACCCTAGAAGAAAACCTTGGCAATACCATTCAGGACAGAGGCATGGGCAAGGACTTCATGTCTAAAACACCAAAAGCAATGGCAACACAAGCCAAAACTGAAAAATGGGATCTAATTAAACTAAAGAGCTTCTGCACAGCAAAAGAAACGACCATCAGAGTGAACAGGCAACATACAGAATGGCAGAAAATGTTTGCAATCTACTCATCTGACAAAGGGCTAATATCCAGAATCTACAAAGAACTCAAGCTCTCCCTATCCCTCTCCCTCTCCTTCTCCCCATGGTCTCCCTCTCCCCATGGTCTCCCTCTCCCCATGGTCTCCCTCTCCCTCTCTTTCCACGGTCTCCCTCTCATGCCGAGCCGAAGCTGGACTATACTGCTGCCATCTCGGCTCACTGCAACCTCCCTGCCTGATTCTCCTGCCTCAGCCTGCGGAGTGCCTGCAATTGCAGGCGCGCACCGCCACGCCTGACTGGTTTTCGTATTTTTTTGGTGGAGACGGGGTTTCGCTGTGTTGGCCGGGCTGGTCTCCAGCTCCTAACCGCGAGTGATCCGCCAGCCTTGGCCTCCCGAGGTGCCGGGATTGCAGACAGAGTCTGGTTCACTCAGTGCTCAATGGCGCCCAGGCTGGAGTGCAGTGGTGTGATCTCGGCTCGCTACAACCTCCACCTCCCAGCCGCCTGCCTTGGCCTCCCAAAGTGCCGAGATTGCAGCCTCTGCCCGGCTGCCACCCCGTCTGGGAAGTGAGGAGCGTCTCTGCCTGGCCGCCCATCGTCTGGGATGTGAGGAGCCCCTCTGCCTGGCTGCCCAGTCTGGAAAGTGAGGAGCGTCTCTGCCCGGCCGCCATCCCATCTGGGAAGTGAGGAGCACCTCTTCCCGGCCGCCATCACATCTAGGAAGTGAGGAGCGTCTCTGCCCGGCCGCCCATCGTCTGGGATGTGGGGAGCGCCTCTGCCCCGCCGCCCCGTCTGGGATGTGAGGAGCGCCTCTGCCCAGCCGCCACCCCGTCTGGGAGGTGAGGAGCGTCTCTGCCCGGCCGCCCCGTCTGAGAAGTGAGGAGACCCTCCGCCCGGCAGCCGCCCCGTATGAGAAGTGAGGAGCCTCTCCGCCCGGCAGCCGCCCCGTCTGAGAAGTGAGGAGCCTCTCCGCCCGGCAGCCACCCCGTCTGGGAAGTGAGGAGCATCTCCGCCTGGCAGCCACCCCGTCCGGAAGGGAGGTGGGGGGGGGTCAGCACCAGCCAGGCCAGCCGCGACGTCCGGGATCAGCCCCCCGCCAGGCCAGCCGCCCCGTCCGGGAGGGAGGTGGGGGGGTCAGCCCCCCGCCCGGCCAGCCGCCCCGTCCGGGAGGTGAGGGGCACCTCTGCCCGGCCGCCCCTACTGGGAAGTGAGGAACCCCTCTGCCCAGCCAGCCGCCCTGTCCGGGAGGGAGGTGGGGGGGTCAGCCCCCCGCCCGGACAGCCGCCCTGTCTGGGAGGTGAGGGGCACCTCTGCCCGGCCGCCCCTACTGGGAAGTGAGGAGCCCCTCTGCCCGGCCACCACCCCGTCTGGGAGGTGTGCCCAACAGCTCATTGAGAACGGGCCAGGATGACAATGGCGGTTTTGTGGAATAGAAAGGCAGGAAAGGTGGGGAAAAGATTGAGAAATCGGATGGTTGCCGTGTCTGTGTAGAAAGAAGTAGACATGGGAGACTTTTCATTTTGTTCTGTACTAAGAAAAATTCTTCTGCCTTGGGATCCTGTTGATCTGTGACCTTACCCCCAACCCTGTGCTCTCTGAAACATGTGCTGTGTCCACTCAGAGTTAAATGGATTAAGGGCGGTGCAAGATGTGCTTTGTTAAACAGATGCTTGAAGGCAGCATGCTCATTAAGAGTCATCACCACTCCCTAATCTCAAGTACCCAGCGACACAAACGCTGCGGAAGGCCGCAGGGTCCTCTGCCTAGGAAAACCAGAGACCTTTGTTCACTTGTTTATCTGCTGACCTTCCCTCCACTATTGTCCTATGACCCTGCCAAATCCCCCTCTGTGAGAACACCCAAGAATGATCAATAAAAAAATAAAATAAAATAAAATAAAAAGAACTCAAACAAATTTACAAGAAAAAAACAAACAACCCCATCAACAAGCAGGCGAAGGATATGAACAGACATTTCTCAAAAGAAGACATTTATGCAGCCAAAAGACAACATGAAAAAATGCTCATCATCACTGGCCATCAGAGAAATGCAAATCAAAACCACAATGAGATACCATCTCACACCAGTTAGAATGGCAATAATTAAAAAGTCAGGAAACAACAGGTGCTGGAGAGGATGTGGAGAAATAGGACCACTTTTACGCTGCTGGTGGGACTGTAAACTAGTTCAACCATTGTGGAAGTCAGTGTGGCGATTCCTCAGGGATCTAGAACTAGAAATACCATTTGACCCAGACATCCCATTACTGGGTATATACCCAAAGGATTATAAATCATGCTGCTATAAAGACACAAGCACTCGTATGTTTATTGCGGCACTATTCACAATAGCAAAGACTTGGAACCAACCCAAATGTCCAACTATGATAGACTGGATTAAGAAAATGTGGCACATATACACCATGGAATACTATGCAGCCATAAAAAATGATGAGTTCATGTCCTTTGTAGGGACATGGATGAAGCTGGAAACCATCATTCTCAGCGAACTATCGCAAGGACAAAAAACCAAACACCGCATGTTCTCACTCATAGGTGGGAATTGAACAATGAGAACACTTGGACACAGGAAGGGGAATATCACACACCGGGGCCTGTTGTGGGGTCGGGGGAGCGGGGGAGGGATGGCATTAGGAGATATACCTAATGTAAATGACAAGTTAATGGGTGCAGCACACCAACATGGTACATGTATACATATGTAACAAACCTGCACATTGTGCACATGTACCCTAAAACTTAAAGTATAAAAAAAAAAGAAAAGAAATGCAGGTTCTCAGACCTCGCCCAAATCTGCTGAGTAGGAAACTCTAGAGGCAGGGTCCAGCCATCTGTGCTGTAAGGAGCCCCCCAGGTTCTTCTGAGGCACACTCAGGTTTGAGAAGCCCTGCTTTATCCAACCCAGCAAACACTAACAAGATGCTACTTTAGTCCCGACTCAAGAAAATTTGGAACCTGACCATCTTTGTTGTCCCTAACCCAGCCTGCCTGTGATGGATGTAAACAGGCCACCCTTCTCTCTCATCTCCAGGGACTACCTCAGTGGTCCCATCACTTTTTCCCTGTCTTTCCCCACAGCAATAAGGGAGTGAACAAGAGTGTTCTGTGAGCTGGACAGAACAGGAATGTCAACGTTTCCTCCAGGGGGTTCGCCTAGGGCCTGTTTGCACCTGCAGGTCTGACCCTGTGGAGCTAAACCCCCTACAAGCTTCATAACTAATGTTCCCAAAGCAGGGAGCATCTGGCCACGACCCCAGAGAGAAGGGATGAGGACAGAGGTAAAAACAATCTCAGGACCCAGCCTCGGATGTTATGTTTCTTCGCTCCTCCTGCAGTAATAGAGCATTATTTCCCTGCTGGCAGATGCAGAATCACAAGCTGATTGTGCACTGGGCTGGAGTGCATATGCCACCCATTTGTCTTGCAGTCTGGCTGGGCGCTCTGCCCTGCTCATGGGAAGCCTTCTCTCATTGCTGAATGCCAAGCAGGCTGGATAATCACCCCTCAACGGGGAGAGGATCCACCAGAAACATGTCTTCCCTTTCCCAGCACAACTGATGGGTAGGAAGGGCACTCTCGCCCCCCTTCACCCCACCCCCACCAAGCCAGCTGGAGCTGGCTGCTGCCTATGTTCTCCTGTGAGCATATCACAGGGGTACATAGAGCCCTGTGGGCAGCACGATGGGGAAAGGGCATTCTTGGGAGGCAACAGAGCACAGTGGTGAAGAGAGGAGGCTCAGCAAGGTCTGGGTTCAAGTCCTGCCTCCTCCCCTACTTAGCAGGGTTGTGAATTGGGCACGTTTCTTCCCTCTCCTAACCTTCATTTCCTCCAGAATGGGGATGATAAGGACACCTTTCCTCTAGGGGTGCTATGCAAAGCCCTTAACACAGAGTTAACCCCCAAATGAGTGTCTGTAGTTGGTGGCAGCTGTTGATGATAAAATAGATACCCTAAAAAGCCCCCTGGAAGGAGAGTAGATGAAGGACAGAAAATAGGCATTAAACACAGGCTGAACACAAAGGCCACAGAGGAGCTGGGTACTGAGGAAACTTGCAATGGATGAGAAGCCCCCAGCCTGCACTGCAGCCTGCTAGCAACTGTATGTCGCTGTAATTTGCTTTGTAAGTTGATGCACTCAACCACAGGACAAATGCAAAGACCAAATTGGAAAATCTAAGTGGACACCCTTTGTCAAATGGAAAAACATGAGACGAATGAGTGTTTTCTTCCCTTTTTTGTTTGCGAAATCCTTGTCTACAAAATCTTTATAAGCCTAGGTTGAAGACCCTTTCTTACCTAAAACCAGTGGTTCCCAAGTGGGAGTGAGTGTCACAATGGGAAAGGTTGCCACTGGCATCTAGTGAGTACAGGGCCTGAATGCCACTAGCCGTCCTACAGTGCACAGGACAGGCCCCACAACAAAGAAGTGTGCAGCTTTAAATATCAACAGTGCTTAAAGCCAAACACGGTTGCCTAGATTAGAACAAATCACTCACTCTGTGCTCCTCAAACACCTTGTTGAAGCCTGGTTTGGAGCATTGGCCTGAGTCTGCCACATCTTGTGGTTAGCTGGTGGCCTCCTGGTACCGCAGAAAGGGCACAGCTTCTGAACGTGCTCAGCCACTCACTGGCCATGACAGAGGAACAGTTGTTTAGCTTCTCTCAGGCCATTTCCTCATCTAAAAAATGGAAAGTAGAATCCCCATTTGCAGGATTATGGTAAGGATTACATAAATGTAGAGCCCCTGGCCCATGGTAAGGGTTCAAAAAGTTATTGGGATGTGTCATCTTCGACGCAACCTCAGGGGGCCATAGCAATGTCTTACGTATCTGCATCTCCTGCAGCAAATTATGCTACACCATGCATATAGTATAAGCACTCAGAAACTGTTGTCGAATTAAAGTGAAGTCTCCCTTGAGAACCAAGCCTCAAGAAATAAACCCAGCCCACCTCATGGACCTACAGACTTGCATCTTGTAAATGGTTTTGATCTAGTCTTCAGGATGTACCAGCATCTCAGAACTCCCTCTGTTTCTCCCTGTCTCCAAGTCTGGGTCCTATCCATTGAACAGGGAGGCTGAGATCAGACTTTGATTCTTTCGGGGACACCCAGAGCCTTGACCACAGTTTGAGAGAAACTACCACAGCCTGGCCATTCCTGCCTGACTCAATCGCCGATCGCTCCCCGACTATCCAAACACCTGCCACAGTGCATGGAGAAAAACGCTGGGGGAAATACCATGTTTTCTAACAATGGGAGGGATACAAGTCTGGATGAGTGTGATTTGCCTGGAAAAGAGAGTGGCCATCACCCAGTCCTTCAAGTTGAAGACAGCTTTTCTAAATACACACCCCATCCACAGCCACCCATTGACACACACAGCTTGGCCACACCCTGAAACAAACGTGGGAAGACCTTCTCTCTCCCTTAATGTGGAAGACCTTCTCTCTCCCTTAATGTGGGAAGACCTTCTCTCTCCCTTTTGCCACTGCAGTGCTTTCAAGGGCTCACCTACTACCAGCTTCTTCCCTGCTAGTGGACACATCAGGGAAGGCAGACTGGGCCAGGAATCAGGAGAGCCCTGAGTTCAAGTGTAATCCCACCACCAGCTGGCTGTGTAATCCTAAATCCTGTCACTTCTCTGAGCCTCAGTATTTTATCTATGAAATGAGAGTTAGACAAGAAAATCTTGAAGGGTCTTTCGAGCTGTGCTCTACTGCACTCTTTTTTTTTTTTTTTTTTTTTTTTTTTTTTTGAGACAGAGTCTCGCTCAGTCACCCAGGCTGGAGTGCAGTGGTGCCATCTCGGCTCACTGCAAGCTCCGCCTCCCAGGTTCACGCCATTCTCCTGCCTCAGCCTCCTGAGTAGCTGGGACTACAGGCGCCCACCACCACACCCGGCTAATTTTTTGTATTTTTAGTAGAGATGGGGTTTCACTGTGTTAGCCAGGATGGTCTCGATCTCCTGACCTCGTGATCCACCCGCCTCGGCCTCCCAAAGTGCTGAGATTACAAGCGTGAGCCACCACGCCCGGCCTACTCTGCACTCTTTCTACCAGCAGTCGTGGCTTTGCTCCCACATGGACCTGCTGAATGAGATGCAGACAAGCCCTGATCCATTCTAAGACCAGCCCTTGCTGCTTGTCAAGGCCTGGATCTCCTACTACTGTATAAGGTGGCCCCCAGAGAATGGCAGGGGTGAGATCTCTCTGTTAGAGTTCTTTGGAATGGACACAATGAGTCCTGGCCCTTCCGAGCCCCTGGAGGCCACACCAGGCTGCCCGGGAAGTATCAGGCAGAGATCAGATTGCAAAGATACATGGCAACACAGCCACTCTGCCAGCCCACGGGAATCCAGGCCAAGAATAGATAATGCTTATACCAAGCATGCATCATCATTGCTAGGTGTCTTAGAACTAACTGCTTCAGGCGCCACATTGCTCTTAGCTGCTTCTTCCAAATCCCTCAATAAAAGGAATCCAGGCATAACCATCAACAAAAAGAACTCAACTCCAAATCTGCTCATCTGTCTTATCCCCAAGTCTCCCTTTCCTCCAGGCCCCTAGTACTGTCACTGAGCTCAGGTAACAATTGTCCGGATCATGTCTGGAGCTTCACCAGCACAAAGCTTTCTTTCCTATGTGAAGCCAGAGTAGAATGCTGCCATCTGCCAGCTGCCCCACGCTCTCGGCTGTGGGGTAGCTGCAGAGCGGTGTAGGGGAAAAAACATGAACTCTGAAATTATCATATCAGCTGTGCCACCCTGAACAAATTACAATCCTCAATGGCTCTGAATCTCAGTTTGCCCACTTGTAAACTGATGTCAGCAATACCTACCCTGCGAGATTGACCTGGGAATTAAATGAAACTCTGCAGGTAAAGCACCGGACCTACACTCGGGGCTCAGTGAAGAGGAGCTATTTTTATAGACTTTCACTCACTTGGCTGAGTAATTCAGTTCCAGAAACAAAACGGACAGTTTGAGAAAGCAGTGATTTAAAATGAATCCCAAGCCAGAGGTCCTTTTGGCACTTTACCTGAAGTGAACTGGATTCTGTTTGGATTAAGGAAAAACAGACTTGTTCTCTAAGAATTTAGCAGTCAATTCAGACAGATGCCAAATCCATGAAAAACTCTCTGATTTTGTCACGCAAACCCCAGAGCGGAAGTCAGACCCAGGCAGATTCAGGTTTTCAGGTGACCTGAAGCAAATCGTTTCACTGGCCAGTCTAGATCTCAGTGGTTCCAAGCCCAGCTACCATTCGCATTACCTGGAGATCTTTTCTAGACTATGGGTACCAAGCCCCACTCCAAACCAGTTTCATCAGGATTTCTGCAGGGTGCAGACTGAGGATCAAGAATTTTAAGAGCCCCTGGGGTGATCCTAATGTAAGCTCCACTGGACCAGAAGTGCTCCAAGATCCTCGCCAGGTATCCCTGGTGCCTACAACCATGTATGATTCAGAGTAGATATTTAGTATATGTTTATTGAGTAAATGAATGAAGATTCTGACTCAACTTTTTGCTGTTTTCATGTTCATAATTTATGAGGTAAAAGAAGAAAAGAAAAGGAGTTTAATCCCAAGAAAGAATCACAGAGCAGAGCTGTCCAATAGAAATTTCTGCAATGGGCCAGGCGCAGTGGCTCACGCCTGTAATCCCAGCACTTTGGGAGGTTGAGGGGGGTGAATCACGAGGTCAGGAGTTCAAGACCAGCCTGGCCAATATGGTAAAATCCTGTCTGTACTAAAAATTACAAAAAATTAGCTGGGCACAGTGGCAAGCGCCTGTAATCCCAGCTACTGGGGAGGCTGAGGCAGGAGAATTGCTTGAACTCAAGCGGCAGGGGTTGCAGTGAGCCGAGATTGCATCACTGCACCACAGCCTAGGCGACAGGGTGAGACTCCATCTCAAAAAAAAAAAAAAAGAAAAGAAAAAGAAAAGAAATTTCTGCAGTGATGGACATGTTCTATAATCTGTACTATTCATTACAGTATCTATGAGCCATAATGGCTACTGAGTACTTGAAATATGGCTAGCGTGATTGGAGAAACTGAACTTTTAATTCTATTTAATGTTAATTAAATTCAAATTTAAATAGACACATATGACTTCTGGCTACCATACTGAACTTCTGGCTACCATTGCAGAAATTTCTTTTCTTTTTTTTTTTGAGATGGAGTCTCACCCTATCACCTAGGCTGTGGTGCAGTGATGCAATCTCGGCTCACTGCAACCCCTGCCACTTGAGTTCAAGCAATTCTCCTGCCTCAGCCTCCCCAGTAGCTGGGATTACAGGTGCTTGCCACTGCGCCCAGCTATTTTTTTGTAGTTTTTAGTACAGACAGGATTTTGCCATATTGGCCAGGCTGGTCTTGAACTCCTGACCTCGTGATTCACCCCCCTCAGCCTCCCAAAGTGCTGGGATTACAGGCATGAGCCACTGCGCCTGGCCCATTGCAGAAATTTCTATTGGACAGTTCTGCTCTGTGATTCTTTCTTGGGATTAAACTCCTTTTCTTTTCTTCTTTTACCTCATAAATTATGAACATGAAAACAGCAAAAAGTTGAGTCAGAACATCTACCTTTTATAAACACATCTATACCTGTGTGCCTCCATGCCCCTCTTTTACTAACAGCACCCCATTTACCTTTAGGGCAGTCCTTCTCCCCCAACCACCTGTAGTCTTGGCTAATGAAATTGCCCCATCCTCCTCTAGCCAAGGATCCAAGCTAAGTCAACAGACTCTTCTCTCTGGAAATTTCACTCTAGCTTCTGTGTCACAAGAATAGAAAATGTGTCAGAGCAGATTAATATGAGTGTTGATGCCCTAAGACAACATGCGTTCATTTGCAGACCATTAGTCCAGAGTGTGACGATAACAAATGTGACACATGATATGAGTTAGGCGTCATTATCGTCATCCTTGTCATCATGAAAGTGACTTGTACCCAGCAGCTCAGATGTGCCTGCTCCTGTACTAGGTATGTAATTTGCCTAGCTTCTCTTATGCATCCTTTCTTCATCTGTAAAATGGAAATCATACTCATCCTAACTCTTCCACGGTTTTTGTGAAGACAGCAAAAGGAATAATTGTCATGAGGGCCGGGCGCGGTGGCTCACGCCTGTAAGCCCAGCAATTTGGGAGGCCGAAGCAGACAGATCACTTGAGGTCAGGAGTTGGAGACCAGCCTGGCCAACATGGTGAAACCCCATCTCTACTAAAAATACAAAAATTAGACAGACATGGTGGCAGGCACCTATAATTCCAGCTACTCAGGAAACTGAGGCAGAGAATCACTTGAACCTGGGAGGCAGAGGCTGCAGTGAGCAGAGATCGAGCCACTGCACTCCAGCCTGGGTGACAGACCGAGACTCTGTCTCAGGGGAAAAAAAAAAAAAAGAAAAAAAAGAAAAATAACGGTCACGAAAGCTTTGAGCCAAATAAGGAGTTACCCAAGTGTCTGTTGGAGGAGTTGTTCCCAAGGCATAGGTGTGGGGAGTCATGGGAGGGCTTGATGAAGGACCCAGGATCTGAGACCAATTCAAAAGTTGTGCCATACCAGGTTAAGTCACTTGTTCTCTCTGGGCTTTTGGCTTAGATAAGACTGGGTTATACACATCTCTTTCCAGTTTCACCATTTTCTAATCTATTTGCAAGCCCCCTTGCCTGACACATACCCTCTTCCACTTCTATGCACACATGCCAGAAAATTCTCTAGCCTAGTCCATGCTGACCTTGTACCCAACTCATTTCTTCTTTTCCCAGCTCCTCACCTGATTGGGAAGTTGCTCTGGGTATGCACTCCCACAGCTTCCTGAATAACCCTCTGGCAGAGCACCTTATGGAAATCATGCTTAACTATCTCCTCCACTAGTAGGCCATAAGTCCAACTAGAGCAAAGGCCATGTCCCTCTTGTTCACTACTGCTTCTCCAGTGCCCAGTACAGAGTCAAACACATAGAAGATGTTCTATGAGTACTTACTCTTTGAATGAATACCCTACATCTATTTTATTTGTCATTTCAGAAAACACATGGTATTATCTCATGCTGCGTAACAAGTTAGTCCAAAACTTAGCAGCTTAAAACGAGAATAGTCACTTATCCTCTCTCAATTTCTGTGGGACAGAAAGTCAGACAGGGCACAGCAGGGCTGGTTGTTCTCTGCTCCATGTCTGGGACCTCAACTCTAAGACTTAAAGGCCGAGGGCTGGCAAGACCTGAAGTCTCGGTTTGCCATGATCTGGTGATTGACTCTGGCTGTTGGCTGAGAGCCCAGCAGCAGCTGTCAGCGAGAACACCCTCATGTGGCCTCACCATGTGGCTTGGGCTTCTTCACAACATGGTAGCTGGTTTCTTCTGAGGAACCAAGAAGAAGCTGTCTCCTTTTTATGGCCTGGTCTTAAGAGTCATACAGCTTCACTTTCATCACACTTTATTCATTAGACACCAGTCACCAAGTACATCCCACATTCAGGGGGAAAGGAATTAGATCCCATCTTTTGAAAAGAATGGTCAAGAGCTTGCAAGCCAATTTTAAAACCAGCACCACTTGGCTAACACAAGAAGCAATGTATAGAGTGAAAAACAAGTGTCTGAAGAAGTAAGACTTCTGTTCACATTCTAGCTCTGCCACTTACTAGCTGTGTGAGTTTGGGGAAATTACCCTCTGAGACTTGGTTTATACAATACAGGGTGATAGTTGTTGATCCCTAGTGATTTTTCTACGCTTGGAGTCTTCTTGCCTTAGTGAGTTTAAGAAGATCCAGGCTGAACTAACTTTCTTGGAGTCTTGCAATCCTTCCCATCACTGATAACCCTTGGTTTCTGACCCTGGAGGTAGTAAGAGGTTGCTACGGGAGCACAGGGTACCCAGAAAGTTCAGATACTAGGGACAGCTTTAGAGAACAGATGTGAAACCACTGAGGCCCTGGGGTCTCTCTAAGGCCTTTAACCCAGCCCTTGTGTAGTAACCTCAGCTTGTCAAGAAATGCAACGACCCCACAACTAAGGAATCTGAATCTGCCGGCTAAGGCCAAGGAATCTGCATTCTCCCACAAGACTGTGATTCATGCTAACTACAGGCAGGGGAGAGGGGGAGCATCTTAAAGCACACACTCGGCCGTCTCTTCCTAAAGTTCTTGGCTTCAGCCTAGAGATAGTGCCTTTCCCACCATTTACAACTCTATGGCATGAGGGAGGCGGAGGGTGCGTCCAGTGTCCAACCACGCACCACAGCTGGTTGTACTTTCACCTTCCTCTAGGCCAGCGGACCCTCCCCAAGCATTGCCTCCCACGCCCACGTCGCGGTCCCACCCTGGTCCGCGGGGTCCAGAGCGTCCAAAGCCCGGTCTAGGCAGATGGTCTAGGGGTGAGCTCTGCGCACCCCATTCCCACCAGTGCAGGCAATCGAATAAAACAGGGTGACTTTTAACCCTTTTCGTTTCCAGAGATAGTGACCCCCCGTCTCAATCCCTAGATGTCCTCCTCTAAGAACTGTGCGCGCTGGGAGGGACTCTGCGCTCACTCACTGTGACCACCTCGGCTGGGATATGGGGAAACTGAGGCCTACAGAGGGAAGGGAACTGCTGAACGTCCCAAAGCAACACAGGCACTGAATCCGGTCTAGAATCCCAGTCTTCCAGGCCAGTGCTCTCGGTCCTACCGGCTCAGGGCCCCTGCGAAGAATCTTTTTCAAGAAATTCCCGACCGCAGGAATTCCTTCTGCGCTAGGAATCTCCATGGAGTTTGCGCTCCCTCTGGCACGTTGAAAACGTCCTCCGCAGCTTCGCACCGGCTTCGCGGCGCCCTGACAGCTGGGTGAGGAGGGAGCGAATGCCCACCGGCGTCCTTGGGGTAACTTGGGACAGAGGCACCGCCGCGGGGGGCGGAGGACTGGGCGCGAAGGCGCTGGCCCTTTAAGGGGGGGACGGAGCGCATGCGCGGCGCGGGCCGTAGTCGAGCCTGGTGGGCGGCTGGCTGGCAGGGGACGTGGTCGGCGGCAGCGGGGCCCAGGGGCGGCGGGGCTGCAGCAGCGGCGGCCCCAGCTTCGCCGAGCAGCGATCGGCTGGTGGGCTTCTCGTTGGCGGGCTCCGCGTTGGCGGGCTGCTCCCCAGGCACCAGCGCAGCGCGCGCTCGCCCGGCTTCGTCACTCGCCTCCAGCTACATCCGCCGGCCGAGGCTGCGCGAGCCTCCGGGCTTGCGGTCCCCGCCCCGCGGTCCTTCCTCCACCCTCAGCCAGGGCAGCTGCAGCCCGAGCGAACAGCCACGGAGCATCCTCCGCCCGCCCGGGCCGCGCCACCGCCCATGCTGCAGCCAGTCCCAGGCAGCGACCCCGCGGCCGCAGCCCGCCGCTCAGTGACCTCAGCCTGGCCCCTGCGCGCCGCCCGAGCCGGTCCCGCTGAGCCGCGGGCCCCGTGCCCTGCGATGGCTCGGCTGGTGCAGCGCGGCGCCAGGTGCCAGCCGTCCTCCCGCTGAGACGCGCCCGAGTGGGGACCCGCTGGGCCTCGGGGCTCGCAGCCTTCGCCTCCCCGCCGCGCCCGCTCCCTTTCTGGGGACTCCGCCGCTGTTTCTGGGGACGAGGGGACAGGGGACCCAGACAAAGCCCACTTTGTGCAGGGAGTTGGCCGCAGGCGGGGAATGTGCGCGTCGGCGCGCGCCCCCTCCCCGCTCCCGGCCAGCTGCGAGTCTTGGCTCCCGGACTTGTCTCGTCGCGTCGGAGAAATCGCCCCCCAGCGCCGCTCTCCCGCCCGGGGGTCTTGGTTCCGAGCTCGCGCGGCCGGGAGTCGCCTCGGTCTTCCTTGGGGCGCGCGCAGATGTGAGCGTGCGAGAGTTGTGTAGGGGATTTTGTTCCCTCCGAAACTGAGACCCAGGGCGCCCAGTGGGCACCCGTGCCTTGACTCTGTCCTTTCTGCAGCCGCTGGTCCGAGCTGTCTGGCCTCAGTTTCCCTCCGACTTTTCTCCGCTCTGCCAGCCCTCACTGCTGCCCGTCATTGTTCTCGCAGTTAGATGGGGGTGCTTTGTGACGGCTGCCAAGTTGGGGTGTGTTCTCTTTATTCCGTTTTTCAAACAGAACAAGGCCTCCAAGGCTGACCCCAGACAACCCACCCCCTCGGACCCTAATTCACCTTATTGCACTGATTTTTTTTATCAAGTCGTATTTTATTGTACAGGAGCCACGCCCTGATTTCTTAAAGGCGCCTTGCACTCTGGCCATGTGTTATCTCTGCAGCCGGTGTGTGGGAGGCCTCTTGTGAGCCAGTTGTTTTCCCGCCTCCACCACCCCCCTCGAAGATTTAGGGATGCCAGGGGGGAAGAAGGTGGCTGGGGGTGGCAGCAGCGGTGCCACTCCAACGTCCGCTGCGGCCACCGCCCCCTCTGGGGTCAGGCGTTTGGAGACCAGCGAAGGAACCTCAGCCCAGAGAGATGAGGAGCCAGAAGAGGAAGGGGAAGAGGACCTGCGAGACGGAGGCGTCCCCTTCTTTGTCAACCGGGGTGGGCTACCTGTGGATGAGGCCACCTGGGAAAGGATGTGGAAACACGTGGCCAAGATCCACCCCGATGGAGAGAAGGTGGCGCAACGGATCCGTGGGGCCACAGACCTGCCCAAGGTGAGACACACGGGTCAGGGGGGTGATAGCACAGTCTAGGTTTTAGTGACCTTGGGGCCAAGAGTGAAGCCACACTCTCCTCCCACGGGGCAGGGGACCACTGGCTCGGTAAGATCTTTAAAATGCAGTGATATCATACCTGTCTAGGAGAACTTTCTCTCACTGCCATTCTAGGAGGGAGGCTCACATACATTGTCTCCAGGAGGCCCTCCCCGCTGTCTTTTAAAATGTCCACGTTTTACAGGAGGGGACAGCAGCAGATGGAACTAACAAACACAGTAGGATGGCTTGACGTCTCATTTGCTTGATGACACTTGCCAAGCCAGAGAACTGTGAGCAGACAAATGTAATGAATGACTAAGGAGATGCAGGGCTTCATATGTTGAGAAAATATTTTCGTGCATTATGTCATTGAATTCTCCCAACAGCCTTGTGACGTAAGTACAGTTTGGATTCCCATTTTACAGATGAGAAAGCTGAAAACTCAAGTAGGAACTCAAGATCCCACAGCCAGTAAGTGGCAGAACTGAGATTCAATTTCAGGTCTTCAGGAGAAGGGCGGGGGGTGGTGGTGGAGGGAAGTGTCCAGGTCCTCTTCTCTGTTGGACAGTAGATTCAAGCACATTAGAAGAGGTCTTATGGAGAAGCATAAAATGAAATAATTTTTCTGTGTTGGCTGTAACTCCTCCTCCATGACAGCTATACTTCAGTTGTGTCACCAACGAAAACAGAGGCTGTATCTCATTCATCTTTGTCTTCCCAAGGCCTCCTGTGTGCCTGGCACAGAACAGGCACTAGTGTGTGTGTTTGCTGAATGAAAGGGTATTTGAGAGTTTCTGTGCTGTACGCTGCTATATGGAAATACATGCCAGATATTAAAAAAAAAAAAAACATGATCAAGACTAGGAGGCACTTTGCCAAATGCAGAGGCCTGAAATCTCCAAAAAAGAGCCCTTTGGACTGAGTTCAGAGCCCAGTGCTTAGCCCTGCCTGCCCAGGTTGGAAGGAAGGGGGCTAGGAAGAATGGAAGTTAGTGTGAATTAGACATGAGGACAAGTGGCCCGTTTTGTTTTTACCAAGTTATTGGTACAGCCATCAGAAAGTGTCTTCTGGGAAAAAGAGAATCAAAGGTTGAAGGTTTAAATACTGCCTAATGTTTCCAGGGGAAACAAAATGTAGATTGATTTGGAATGGCCGCATAAATGTGCTCTGCACTGACTTAATATTTATTTAGCTAATCCCCTAGAGTTGGATGTTGTTTCCAGTTTTATTCCTAAAATGAATACTATGGTGAACATTCTAAAATATAAATTTTGGGGTTCATCTCTGATTATTTCCTTGGGAAAAATTCTGAAAGCGAAAGTATTGCGTCAAAGGATATTGACATTGGTAGGGGTCACCTGCTTATCTATATGGCCTCTTCCACCTATTTGAGATGCAGTTTTCTTATCAATAAGATGAGGTTGATTGTGGGGAAGAAATGAGAGACTGTGTGTTAAAGTATTTAACAAACTGTAAAGCCCCAAACCAGTACCTGGTTATTGGATATCAGTTACCTTTTTTTTTTTTTTTTGAGATGGAGTCTCACTCTTTCCACCAGGCTGGAGTGCAGTGGCATGATCTTGGCTCACTGCAGCCTCCACCTCCCTGGTTCAAGTGATTCTCCTGCCTCAGCCTCCTGAGTATCTGGGATTGTAGGCACCTACCACCACACCTGGCTAATTTTTGTATTTTTGGTAGAGATGGGGTTTCATTTTCAACATTTTGGCCAGGCTGGTCTCAAACTCCAGACCTCAGGTAATCCACCCACCTCAGCCTCCCAAAGTGCTGGGATTACAGGCGTGAACCACCACGCCCGGCCAGACATCCATCACCTTTACTTATGTGCTTTATCAAGCGGCAAGACTGGGTTTTGCTCAGATCATTTGTCCCGATGAGGCCAGAGTCACACCCTGCTCCCACGTGAACAAGTCGGGCAGCTCTCCAGCCATCTTGCTTATGTCTAAATCAGGCCATAAAAGAGTGTGAATGGTTCCCTGCAGAACTGCCACCACTCCTGGGAACTAAAAAAGAAATAGTGAGCTCACTAGTAACTGGTCTGTAATGTCATTCTGTCATCTTCAGTCCTCATGTACAGGAAAGACACGGATGAAGGAAGTCTAGGGGTGGGGGCTGTGTTGTGACAGACCCCTAGACTTCCATCGCTAGGGTAGAAGGAATTTTGTGAGAGGTTTGGAAAAATTTGAACCTCCCCCTCTTCAAACCACAGATCTCAGATAAATCGCATGAGTCTGCATGAGGTCCCTCCTCTACCTGGGCTCTGAGTAGAAAGGTACCCTTAGAGTCTGGGAGTGCAGTGGAGTCCAGGAGGCCTTGGAGAGAAGCAGCGTGGGTTGGGTGCCTGGGTGCCAGGGTGCCAGTGGCAGGGTGGGCTGACCCCGCCCTTACCATCCCTAGGGGCCATGCCACTGGAGCTGGCACAGGGTCATTCCCTACAGCGGCCACACAGTGTGGGGCTCAAGAAGTGTTTTGTTGGGAAAATTGGGAGATTTCTCACATAAAGATCCAGAGTTTTGGCATCTTTTCAGAAAATAAGAAGACTTGGGAACACATGGGAATCTGCAGTCCCACGTGGCAGCTGTCAGCTGGGGCTGGGGAGTGAGTCCTACTCCCCCATCTTGCCACTGTCTCCACCACTCACCTACCAGGCCTGCCTGCCCCGTGTATGTTACTTGCCCGGCCCCTGCATGTGGTTGAGTCTGGGACCCCTGCAGGCTGGTGTCATAAAAGGAGAGCACTCTGGAGTCAAAGCTACCATGTTCAAATCCTTGATCTCCCATAACTACTTATATGAGGAAGACAGGCAACTTTCTTGTGCCTCAGTTTTCCGCAGCTGTGAAATGGAGCTAATAGCAATGCCCATCAAGAGGATGTTAGAGGAATTAATGATGCAAAGCATGTGATGCTTCATTAAGTGCCTCTAATAGATACCCAGTAATGGAGCAGGGAGTGAGTGTTCATCGACACCCCACTAGCGCTTTGGAGAAGCAGCCTTTACAGGGATGATGCCAGTATGTTATAGGGCAACAATTTCTAGAAAGATCCCAAATCCAGCAACAGCTTAGGCTCCTTGATAAGAGTCTGTCCTTGATGTTTCAGGCTTCCACCCCCTTTAAAAGCTTAGTGGCCACTGACCCCAGACCCAGCTGCTGAAGGTCTTTTATGGTCTCTTATGGCTCAGGCCACAGAGCTCCTGCAGAATGGGAATTTGGACATCTCCTCTAGCTACTTATTATGACTCCAGAGTGCTTTCCTTTGATTTATTTATGAGACAGCGTCTCGCTTGGTCACCTAAGATGGAATGCAGTGGCACAGTCATGGCTCACAGCAGCCTCTACCTTCTGGGCTCAAGTGATCCTCCCACCTCAGCCTCCAGAGTAGCTGGGGCTACCGGTGTGCCCTACCATGCCTGGCTAATTTTTTTATTTTTTGGTTGAGATGGGGTCTCTCTATATTGCCCAGGCTGGTCTCAAACTCCTGGGCTCAAGCCATCCTCCCGCCTCAGCCTCCCAAAGTGCTGGGATTACAGGCAGGAGCTACTACACCCAGCCTGGACATCTCCTCTAAAAGGGTAACGTTGCTGGGATTAGCATGTGCGAGGCACACTGATAATGATGACAGTGAACACAAATTAAGTCTGTGCTGTGTGCCTGACCCTGCTCTAAGGCCTCGACCTGCAGCATCTCATTCGCACTATAAGGCTGATTTTGTGTTGGTGCCCACTTTATAAATGAAGTGTCTGAGGCACAGGGGAGGTCAGGAGCTTCACTAAAGTCACGACTAGGCCGGGTGCGGTGTAATCCCAGCACTTTGGGAGGTCGAAGCAGGTGGATCACTTGAGGTCAGGAGTTCGAGACCAGTCTGGCCAATGTGGTGAAACCCCATCTCTACTAAAAATACAAAAATTAGCTGGATGTGGTGGTGCATGCCTGTGATCCTAGCTACTCTGGAGGCTGAGGCAGGAGAATCACTTGAACCCAGGAGATGAGGTTTTCAGTGAGCCGAAGTTGAGCCACTGCACTCCAGCCTGGGCGACAGGGTGAAACTCTGTCTCAATAAATAAATAAATAAATAAATAAATAAATAAATAAATAAAAAGTCACGACTGTAAATGGCAGAGCTGAATATCCATAGTGATGATCTAGTTGGAGACTCAGCCCTATTGCCCTCTAGGCCACACTTTTTGGGCGCACACATCCAGCTGCAAGCTCTCCCCACCTCCCCCAGGCCTCATTGTGTTCGATTGAAATAGACCCCTCCAGTGAGAATGTCTCTGTAGAACTCAGGACTAGGGGTTCCTGGAGCCGGGGGAATCCTTGGCCTTGGCTGTGGAGGAGGAGTGCTCCCTGGGGAGATCTGGTGGCTATACCACTCCCCCTTACCGTGCCCCACTTAAACCCACCACTCAACAGTGAGGAAATATTTCCCGACTCCTGTTTCGGAGGTGGGGGTGAGGGGCAAGACCTAAAATGGGCCTGGTCATTTGCATATATAGAATCTTTCTTATTTGTGTTTGAGTGAACGAGTCTATGTAGGTAATGAACATTCAGACAAAAAGGTGCAGGTGCTGTCTGCAGTGGGGTGACATGAGTCAAGGAGCTAGCCTCGGTGATGGTGGCCTTAAGGTCTTGCCTCTGAATCCCCAGGTATTTTCTTGACCTTCCTTCTCCCAGAGCAGCCAGCTCCTAGGTCCTTTGTCTGCACAGCAGGTGCTAGTGCTTTCGTGGGTACTGCCTGGTCCCGGCCCAGGCCTGGCTCTGGGTGAATGATCCAGTCCTGGGACTGCAGCTCCCTTTTTGCAGCTTCTTGTGGGAGGGTGTACTACAATCTTTATCCCAAGCTCCTCAAGGTCACTGGATCCCCACTTGTGCATGGGGATAATCTGCATGCTTCCCTGCCTGGCAGGGGCTGCCACCTGCAGAGATCAGGTGACTGGGTGGATGTGCCATGCTATTTAAATTGCTAAGTAATTCCTCTAATTCCCCTTCCACCTCCCCACCCCTGTATCCTTGACATGGGGAGGCCAGGCCAGGCCCTGGGGCCCATTTGGTACAGAGTGGCCAGACAGGAAGAGGGGGGAGCCCCCCACCCCGGGTTTTATCTTGCTGGTGACTGTAAGTGGTGGTGCCAGTTTGGGGAGGGGGAGCAATGTGAAAGGGAAATGGCTCCCTCCAGACAGAGACGTCAGCGGCTCAGGAGCCAGGGCAGCCAGTGCGGTTGCTAGGGACTCCCCAGACAGGAAGGAGAAGACCGACGGGAGGGAGGGTGAGGAAGTGCAGGCGACGCTGTGGCCCTGGACCAGGGCCCCTTCCCTCCTGCGTCTCCACCCCTTAGAGGAGGTGTCTGTCAGACACTGTCCCGTGTGCCTGTGCCATCAGCAACACCCCAGACATGAGTGTGCAGTGATAACTGGAGTGTCACTTCCCTCCTTGTCAGAGCCCCAGCCACTGCGGTCACATTATTTAAAAAGCTGGGCTGGCATCTCCACCACTCGAGAGCCTCCCCAGGAAAGGAGGAAAAGAGCTTCATCCTTCCCTCCTTACCCAGCCCTACCCCCTTCCCTTCACACGTGCCCCTGAGCACAGACTGTGACTCTCAGCAGTCCCATCGGGTGGGTGGGCTCAGTGTGGCCTTGGAGGGCCGGGTGGAGGCTTGGGGGCAGGGGGTGGGACCTCTCTATGTGGGGAGCCTTACAGCTACTGTGCTGGTGGACAAGGGGGAGCCCTGAGGGGTGGGCCTTTTCCCTGGAAGTCTGGTTCTTCTACCCAAGGAAGTCTGTTCTGAAACCTCGGAGGACCCTAGCTGATGTATCTCTTGGCCTCCTTGGCCTCACTGACTTGTTGGCAGCCAAACTGCCAGATCCGGGCTCCCCTGGCTGGAGAGGGTCCCATACTGGCATAATGGTCTCTTTTCTGGAGACTGGAGGCTGAGGGAAGCCTGGGGGTCAGCTGTTCTTGACCTTACCCCCAGCAGCCTCCAGGCTCCCAGGCATCGGGAAACACTGCCTGTTCTCTCCTCTGCCATTTCTGGGCTGGGTGCTGGAAAGTGCGTTCTGGGGAGGAAGACTGTCTGGGTACCTGGAAACCTGTACTGACTAGGTGTGGAGCTGGCAGGAAAGAGAAGACTTGGAGGAGGACCCGGCCCCTCTGTGCATGCCCCAGCCACAGAGCTACAGCAAGACCTGTTCCAAAATATGTCCTTCTGGCCTGCTACCGCTGACTGACTCCTTGACAGTTCAAGTTGGTGCTCTGGAAGGCATGGCGAATATGCCCATGATACTGGGTGGGTCCCCTACCAAGGATGCTCACCCCCCTCAGGACCACTCCCAAAGCCTAGGGCACCACCTGAGAAGATGGGACCCCGGATATACCAGCTTTGATCCGGCGCTTGAACCAGAGCAAACTTCAAACCTAAAATAACCCCAATATTATATTCTTAAGTCTTGAAACTAATGAATATTTAAAATTTAAAATAGTCAGTGAATTAACCTATGTTTTTCTGAAGTTATTAAAGAAGCATAAAATTGGAACATCAGCATACACTCTGAATGAGGAATGCTGTTAAGTCCCAGGAGGGAAGGAATGGCTGGGCTGGGGCCCTGGCAAGAGTCTTCGAATGAGTGGGGTGCCAAGAAAGGAAGCTCAAGTGGGAGGGAGGGGAGGCTGTGCCTCCCCAGGGTGGGGCGCCTCTGGGGCCAGTCCTAGGTGTTTGGTGGACTGGAAGCTCCAAGGTGAGCCTCTTCTTGTGACCGGAGCTCTTTCTCTGTCCCCAGATCCCCATACCGAGTGTGCCTACGTTCCAGCCGTCTACACCTGTCCCTGAGCGCCTGGAAGCTGTGCAGCGCTACATCAGAGAGCTGCAGTATCCTCTCTGGTCAAGGGTCATGGCCACCTTCTGGCCGGTGTGGTGGGCCTTGTTTCCAGGCAGAGCTGGAGAGGTATCAGCAGAGCCGCCTCATTCCACAACGCCAGGGCCACCATTCACGTGACATCTCTGTGCTCCCTGGTGCTGTGGGACGCGGCGCGTGTGCCTCCTGGGTGTCGGAGGAATTTTGTCTGATGAGTGCAGGGCCCACTCTGCACTCTCTGCCACCCCCTTCCCGCTCCTGCCGTGTGATGGGGTAAAGAGAGGAAAATGGGTCCTGAGTGACTTGCTGGTGGGGTGGCCAAGTCTAGATAGATCTGCTCTGTTGTCCACCCAGCCCTAGCAGAGGGGGAGAGAGGGAGCTGCCTTGGGGCTTTTAAAAGTCTGATTTTGAATAAAGGGAAAAATGGCAGAGAAAAAGGATTTTCTGCTCCAGGAGGTAACTTCAGGATCCTAGAATTTTCTCCAGTTCTTCTCCTTTTTTTCCCTGGCAGTAGGATGGTTGGCCAGCAGGGGAAGAGCTGGGCTCCCCTGGGCCCAGATTCCTCTGTGTCCCTGCTCTAGCCCCTGCACCCTGCCCCTGCACCCTGCCCCAGAGCTGTGTGTCCTGGGTCCTCTCTCCCAGGCTTCTGGCTGCAGAGGTCAGAGATGGGAGAGCTAGGCATGGGTCCTGGGTCGGGAGAAGCCAGGCTGATGACTGCATATCGGGTCCAGCTCCTCCTTCTGCCAGTGGGGAAACTGGTCCAGTGAGGCAGGTGGCTGGCTCAGGAGCAATTAAAGGCTGAGTTGGACCCCCTACCCTAGCCTCCTCTCAGTTCCTGTGGCTTCTCAGCTGGTTGGAAGATGAAGTGCTGTAGGGCGCTGTTCCCAGCCACAGCCTCTTTCTGGCCCTCGCCGAACTGGTCGCCTGCTCCATGTCTCTTGTCCTAAGAAGAGAAGCCAGGGGAGAACAAGGGAGAAAGCCAAGGAGGGTGAGGGAGAGGGAAAGAGAAGGAGGCGTGAGGCGGGGAGAAGAATTCATGCTGTGCCCCCATCTCCCCTCCAGGAGACTTGGCTCTTGAGCTTCAGGATAGGCAGGAAGAGAGGGTCAACCTCCTTCAGGCCAAGCTAGGAAGCCCTTAACCCGTGCCCACAGGTACAATCACACAGGGACACAGTTCTTTGAAATTAAGAAGAGCAGACCTCTGACAGGGTAAGTATGGGGAGGCCAGTCCTCTGCCCCAGGGCTGGCTTGGAGCTTCTTGAAAGCCCTATAGTGCACCTTGGAGAGGAAGTTTATGGGGCAGTCAGGGACTCTTCTGAAGGAAGCCAGCCTTTGGGGGCAGGTGCCACCCTGGGGCCTTATGGATGTCATAAAGAGAAAAATCCGGCTGAGATGAACAGCCAGGGCTGCCTTGATGAAAAGGAAATCCCGGGTCCATGCTGAGCTAGAGGGTGGGAGAGCCGCCCCCAGCTCTTGCCTTGGCCAGGAGAGAGGGTGGTCCTAGGTGGATTGTAGGTGAGCCTCAGATCTTTTGTTTTTTAGTGAGAGGTGGACCTTGCAGGAGAGAGCCCTCCCTTCTCTGTTCTGCGGCTGCCGCACTCCCCATTGCTGATTCCCATTGCAGGGTACTTGCATGGTCACCCCATTTGCCTTACTCCGTGGACTCTTTTCTGGGCATTGAGTAGCAGGCTCAGGGTCTGAGCACAGGGAGCTCCCTGGAGAGAATGTTGCATCTCTCACTTCCCATCCCGCCACCCCGTGTGTAGCCCCCTGCCTGGATTCACTTCCCCTGGAAAGTTTCTGCCCATGAAGCCCCGAGGGCAGAGGAGAGTGAAGAGTGAATGCCACAGCTGGGTCTAGGGGCTCTGCCCAAAGATGCCCACAGACTTAAGACCCCTGGGCTTTAAAAATTCATGTGAATTGGCCAGGCACGGTGGCTCACACCTGTAATCCCAGCACTTTGGGAGGCCGAGGTGGGCGGATCATGAGGTCAGGAGTTTGAGACCAGCCTGGCCAACATGGTGAAACCCCATCTCTACTAAAAATACAAAAATTAGCTGGGCGTGGTGGTGGGTGCCTGTAATCCCAGCTACTTGGGAGGCTGAGGCAGGAGAATCGTTTGAACCTGAGAGGCGGTGGTTACAGTGAGCCGAGATCACGCCACCGCACTCCAGCCTGGGTGACAGGGCGAGACTCTGTCTCAAAAGAAAAGAAAAAGAAAAAGAAAAAAAATTTCATATGAAGTTTACATCTTGCCCCACACATAATCTATGTTTGCTTCTTTGTGAAAATGCATTTAAATGGCTTATTAGCAAAATTACTTAATTACACCCTCTCCGAGGCCCTGGATGGAGTCCACCCTCCCTATCCCCAAAGCTTTGCTTTTGTTGGCCTGTGGCTGCTGTGTGCTGGGGAACCACTCCAGCCTTACTTGGCATGGAGGAGTCTGGGTGCCCTCCTGGGCAAAGCCAGTGACCAGGCTGAATTCCCAGGCTGGGGACAGAGGGAGGAACCACGCCTCAGGGAAAGGCTGTCTTAAAATGGCCTGAATTCCAAGTTCAGGAGCAGATCTGTAGTCAGCAGGTAACTATCTGCCTAAGATCCCACATCCAGGCTCAGGCAGCTGCGGGGAGGCAGTTGCAGTCAATTAACAAGCTCCTGGGAGAAGCCATGGTTGGGTCAGTGGTGTCTACTGTGCTTCAGAAGGGAAGAGATCGATGCTGACGTCCCTCCTCCCCCGACTGCCTCGCAGAAGGCCCCAGCCTGGTGGCTGGAGAGAAGTTGCCCCCAGCTTCTGCTGCCCTCCCCCAGAGCTCTTTGGAGCAAGAGCCAGGCGTGGGAGGTGGAAGTGAAAGAAGGGAAGAGCAGGGAGAGTGGGCCTCCTTCCTATCAGCAGTGGCCGCCTCTTTCCCACCCCCTCAGGCTCCAGACTTCCGTCCGTCGGGAGTGTGGAGGGAGGTGCTGGGCCTGAGCTGAGAGCAGCTTAGGGGGCAGCCTCTGTCCTTCTAGCATTTCTAGTCCACCCTGCCCCCTCCTTCTCACATTCCCCTGGAGGGGCTGGAGGCGCTGTCCTTACTGACCTGCCTCCCTTTCCCACAGGCTGATGGACCTGGCCAAGGAAATGACCAAAGAGGCCCTGCCAATCAAATGCCTGGAAGCCGTGATCCTGGGAATGTATCCTTCCTCACCTGAAGGGGAGGGGTCCGGGCTTCTCTGGGCCTCAGCTTCCTGCTCTGAAAGTGAGGGTGGGGTAGGTTGAATGGGCTCCAGGGCTCTCCCATATGCAGTCATCTGCTTGGCCCCAAGATGGAGAAGCACCCCACTAAAGTGGAAGAACCCCCCAAAATGGAGGAGCCCCGAGGTCCCAGTACCCCACATCTCAGTTGCTACCTTCCCAGGCTTACTGGGCAGCTCTTTTTTGAGTCACGTGGATACAGGGACCGTTTTCTGAACCCCAAATCAGGGCACAGTGTCTCACAAAGACAGTTGTACCATTTCCAAGAACTAGACAGTCTGGGAGGCACAGTTGGAATGCCCAGATGTTGGCATTTCCAGAACATGTTGATTTCTGGACGAGATATTAAAGCAAAACTGCCTTAAAAAAAAAAAAAACCACAAACAAGGTTTTCCAGTCACACCCCCGCCTCCAACCCAAAGGGCAGAAGTGGGGCCTGTAGCTGAGTCACCAGGGTAGCCTTGGAGACAGACCAGCCACCAGGAGAGGCTGTCCTCCCCAGCCCCACAGTCAACAGCGGGAGAGGAGGAAGTGTTTATGGCTGGTTCTCCATCCTAACTGGTCAATGCCTGAGCCCTACCTTTTCTTCTCAGTCATTTTATTATTAAAAATGTCATAAATACACGTGAAACCTAGAACAACATCATGAACTCCTGTGCACCCGTTACTCAGCTTCACCAACTCAAAGCCAATTCTGTTTCATCTCTTCCACCCTGCCCGTATTCTTTACCAGCTTTTAAACATTTTGCCTGCGCCCCTGGGGTAGGCAGCCCACTGGGCTCAGTGCTGCAGAGGAGCACAGATTAGGTGGGAGCCAAGAGGGTGACGGGGAGGGGGTCTGATGGAACAGGAGTCCCATCTGAGGGCAGGTCCTGGGAGGACTGTGATCCAGGGGTCCATCCCCACCCCCCACACAGACATGCCTGCCTGAAGTTCACACAAAGAGGCTGCGGGTGCCCTTCTCTTCCCGCAGAGGTCTCGGAGGGAACGCCACTATGGCAGGCATTTGCTAACAGGGCAGGCCCATTTCTGGAGCCCGACATCCCTGCCCTGTTTATGGGGTTCTTTGCTGGGATAAGCCTGAGGCCACCCGAGAAATTCAGGCTGCAGGCAGTGCCTCCTTCATGTCTTCACGTTCACTTCTCCCTCAGGGGTCACACACCAAAGTGGAGGCTCCCACCCTCATAGGAGAGAGACTGGTCCTTTTCCCCAGGAGGACACACAGAAGTCACTCCAGGCAGGGTCCTATGGTCTCAAAGCTTTTCAGGGGTCACCTGGTGGCTTGTGGGCAGGAATAAAATAGGAACAGCCCCCATCTGGGTGAGGGGCTCCTTCTCAGTGTCCCCACAGCTCCCTCAGGCACAGCACACGCCGTGGTTCTCACGTCTTGTCCTCGCCGCACTCTGAGCCTCTGCAGGGCCGGGCTGTGCATTTCTCATCGCTGTATCCTTGGTCACTTACAAGGAGTCAGGCTCAGTAAGCATTGGTGGAATGAGAGTAGTGCTGGAGGGACCGTGGCATAATGTCTCAACACAGACTTTGGGGTCAGGTTGACCTGGACTTGAATCGTGGCTGGGCTGCTGACTCACTGTGTGACCCCCAAGGAAGTTCCTTAACATCTCTGAGCCTGGGAGTCCTCCTCTGCAAAGGGGGATAGTGGCAGTGTGTAGAGTTGTTAGGACAATGGGCCGAGCCGGTGCCGTGAGACGCAGCACAGTGCTGGACATGGTGTCTGCTACACGCTTCTATCCATTCATGTCCTTCTACCCATTTGTTCGAGAACTTTCACTGAGTAACTGTTGTGTGCCCGGCTTGATGCTGGGCCCTGAAGAACATGACAGACAAGGGCCCTGTGCTTGGGAGGTTTGCATTCTAGTGGAGGAGACAAAATAAGCAAGTAAGGAAAAAGAAGCAGTAAACACTGGTCATGGTGAGAGTGCCGTGGAGGAGGTGGACGGTGGCGCAGGCTCAGCTTCAGTCCTGAGCAGCAGCCAACTTTGGCAGGCAGGGGAAAAGGCCGGTGTGAGAAACTCAGGTGGGAGGCCCCGGGGGCTGGAGAGGTGAGCAGGTGGGGCAGAGGTGTAGGAAGTGGGAGTGGGCCTGGGGCTGGCTGGGGGCACCTCCCAGGCCTCAGTAGTACACGTGATTGTATTTGAAGGGCCACAGGCAGGGTTGCATGTGGATATGGGGAGAGGACAGGGTGAGGGTAAGAGAAGAGTGAAGCCGCGTCTGTGGCCTGTGTGTGTGCCAAGGTGCGGGATGGAGGGCGAGGGAGTGAGGCAGGGGAGGGAAGGCTTCTCTTCCGTCCTTGGGCCACTGGGCTCTGGAAAGCCCTGCAGTGTGGCACCAGCCCTGCTGGACTTCAGAGCGGTGGCCACAAATCCCTGGAAGCCCCGTGCCTATTCGAGGTTCCCTTTATTGAGCTCCAGCTGGATACCAGGCTCAATGCTAGATGGCAGGAATACCAGGAGGAGACGCCAGGCGTATGGAGATGAGCAGGACTGGTGTCTGCACCCCAAGGCTGGCGGTGCGTGGACCCCGTGGCTCCCGGTCCCAGTCCCTCCCGGTGTGCTGGCCCCGTGCTTCTCCTGGCTCTTTCCTTAGCGGGGCACTGGCCAGTTACCTCACCAACAGCATGCCCACCCTGGAGCGCTTCCCCATCAGCTTCAAGACCTACTTCTCAGGGAACTACTTCCGCCACATCGTGCTGGGGGTGAACTTCGCGGGCCGCTACGGTGCGCTGGGCATGAGTCGGCGCGAGGACCTGATGTACAAGCCGCCCGCCTTCCGCACGCTCAGCGAGCTCGTGCTGGACTTCGAGGCCGCCTACGGCCGCTGCTGGCACGTGCTCAAGAAGGTGAAGCTGGGCCAGAGCGTGTCACACGACCCGCACAGCGTGGAGCAGATCGAGTGGAAGCACTCGGTGCTGGACGTGGAGCGCCTGGGCCGCGATGACTTCCGCAAGGAGCTGGAGCGCCACGCCCGCGACATGCGGCTCAAGGTCTGCCCGCCTTCCACGCCCTCGCCCCCTCCCTCGCCCCCTCCCCCGCCCCAGCAGAGGCGATGTGAGGATTGAGAGGACTGGGGAGCTTCTCAGGGGACTGGGGTGCTGGGACCTTGCTTAGTGGTCGATATTGTTCAGGTGGTCCCCTGGGGTGGGCAGACCAGGACGGCTGCGGAGGGAGGAGGTGGGTGGGCTGGGTTTGGATGGTGGTAGGTGTTGGGCACATGGCAAGGTCACTGGTGGAGAATCACGGCCTGTCTGGAGGGTGTGATCGGGTGCTGTGATGGGCAGCCTCCCCACTCCTCCTGTAACATATCCTGACTCTGCCCCCCAACCCTAGCAACCATTAAAGGACTAGGAGGTGGTCAGAAGAAAGGGAAGTCAGACCATGTGGAAGACAATGAGGGCAGTGTTCCTTCTTCCTCTTCCCACCCACACTTGAGCAGGAGGTGATAGGGAGTTGGGCTGGGGGCTGTTGTACCAAAAACAGCTGGGCTGAGCTGTTGAGCCCTAGAGCCTTTCAGCAGGCAGAATTCTGACATCTGCCTGGGTTCTCCTGGGGCTGCCAGGGCCCCCTGCTGGGTATCTCCATAGCTCAGTCACTGCTGCACTGTGACTGCCCCTCCAGGCAGCCTGGAGCCTCCGCCTCAACCACCGACCTCTGCACTCCCAAGTGCACTGCTTCTCTTGACAGCCCTGGGAGGCCAGCGGGCGGTAGGTGGTAGCTCCATTTTCAGGGTTGGAAGCCCAGAGTCTTGCTCACTGGCAGTGAGAGGCAGATCAGACTGGAGCTCAGCCTCCTGATGGGGTGATGGGGAACCCAGGTGTGTTGCAGGTGCCTGCAGGTGTCCTGGCAGGGGTTTGTAAGAGCTACGGCTGCCCTAGCCATTGCCAGCCCTAGGCCAAGATCTCCTGGGGTGACAGTGCCTTCCCCTAGGGCAGAGGCAGGCTGCAGCCAACCCTGCGTTAGAGAGGGGCTGCTCTCTTCTGCCCCTGAGCTGCCGCTCCCCACCTAGCTCTGGGTCCCCCAGCACCCTGGCTCTTGCTCCTCAGTTTGCTATTGTGTCTTTAAGGCATCAGATTGGATCTAGGGTGAGAGCCAACAGTTCCCTAGTGTTTAGAGCTGTGATGGATTCCCAGCCTATTCAGTGCTAAACACTCACCTGTGTTACTTGCCCCTCTCCAGCACTCCTGCGTTTTGAAAACTCAAGTCAAGCTGACGGTGCCATATAAAGGATGACTCTTTTGTTTTTCTCATTTTTTTCTTAAGCAGAGCTAAAGCTACCAGTCTGACTTCTCAATGGCTGGAGATACCCAGCATCACCCTTGGGGTGAGTGGGATCTCAGCCCCAAGTTCAGTGTGGGCTGCTCCCACAACTGGCACGTTTACCTGGCCTTTGTTGGGGACTTTTTGCAATATTATGGTATCTCAGTGACTTCCCCCACTTCCACTCTGCCTTCAGGAGCCCACAGGGATTGGACAGCCCCATGGAGGAACTCCTGCTCTGGCAGCTTTAGTGCCTGGGAAATAGGTTGGGAAAGATCCAGACAGGGAAGAGCCATGCTTGAGGTTCCCCGGGCCTTCCCCAGGGCAGCCTCCAGGGACCTGTGGCTCCTGGAAGGAGAGGTTGGGCTCCAGGGCAGTCCTGGAGTGATGCTGTTGCTTCCTCCTCTGCACCTAGATTGGCAAAGGGACGGGCCCTCCCTCTCCCACCAAGGACCGGAAGAAGGATGTTTCTTCCCCGCAGCGGGCCCAGTCCAGCCCCCACCGCAGGAACAGCCGCAGTGAAAGACGGTGAGAGAGGGACCACGCCTGGGTGGGTCCAAAGAGGGTTTTTTTCCTTTCCTCTCATCGTGTGGGTCCCTTTTTTTTTTTATCTCTCTCCCACCCTTCTCTCTTTTTCGCTCCCACCCAAGGGAGGTGACTTGGGATGGTGGGTTTAGAGGTTTGTGTATTGACATTTCCCACAGCAAGGCAGTTCTACTTCCCCAGAGAAACCAAACTCTGCTAGCCCACTAGTCTGAGCATGGGTTATGTGAGAGAAAAGGTAGAAAGGATGGGGCCCCTGCAAGGCAGTGAGCCACCCAGGAATGTCATGGGGGAGGGCGTGAATATTAGATGGCTTTGAACATAACTTTGCCCCCCACCCAAGAGTCTGGTTTTTGTCTGTATCCAGGTAGCAAGAACAAGCCATTGAAATACCAGCTCTCCTCCTCTGATTTCAGCTCCTACACATCACTCTGACTCTTGCTTTAAATATAATTGTCATTCAGGAGCCACCTCTCTGGTATGAATTCAGGGGTGGGGTACTAAGCAGGCCTCTGGCACCAAAATATCCATCATCTGTGACTTTTATCTAAGAGGCTTTTGTAGATGACAGATTCCCCTCAGACAGATTTATACTTTAAGCTGTTACCTACCAACTGCAGCCAGATTAGCCAGCCTCCAGCAGCGAGAAAGCCTGTGAGAGCGAGCCGGGGCCACATTCAGACAGCACAGGCGGGCCAGGGTGTCCAAAAACACACTTCCATACGCACTGTGCTGTGCGTTGGAGGGCCACTTGGAGAATGTGGCGGGGAAGCCACCAGGCAGCCGCTGCTGGCTCCCCAACTCCATCTCCCTAACAGACCACTCACTCTCCTCCCGCTCTGCTCTCTTCCTCCCACAGGCCCTCGGGTGACAAGAAGACTTCCGAGCCCAAAGCCATGCCAGACCTTAACGGGTACCAGATCCGGGTCTGAGGCGGATGCCAGCACCCCAGGCCCCACCCACTCTTGGGGGCCAGGATCCACCTGCTGGAACCAGCCTTATGCATGGGGAAGGCGGGGCTGGTGACAAGGCAGGGCAAGAGGCTGCAGGAAGAGTGTGTTCCAGCTCAGCCCCCCAAGCTGCTCTCGCTCCCACTGAGCCAAGCCCCCTAACTTTGGGCCTAGAGGCCGTTAGTATTTTATTTGGAGTTTTTAACTCTACAACTGAAGTTTAAGGTATTTGGGGAAAACTTAGTCCAAATGGATCTGCTGATGGTGGGAAGGCCAGTGCTTAACAAATCCATGTGTCATGGGGCCAGGTGAGGGAAACTGCTGGTTCTGCTGGTGCCTCTGCCCCTGGCTTCTCTCTGGGAGTTGGGTGCATCTTATCAGTGGGAAATCTCCCAGCCTTACCAGGCCTGTGATGGGGGGTGGGGGTGGGGTGGAGATGTTTCTCCAGTTCTGCCTGCCCTGGCAGAATCTTGACCCAGGGAAAGGGAAGCAGGGTAGGAGTCCTTCTGAGAAAGGTCTGTGTAGCCCATTAACCAGGAGCTTGGCACAGGCCACATCTGCCCCAAGAGCATGAGCTCGTGGCTCAGGAGAGCCTTCAGGCCCTTGAGGCCCCCATGGGCAGTGCTGTGTGGGCAGAGGAGGGGTGATATGAGAGCGAGCCCAGGGAAGGACCTCTGGGCAAAAAGTTCCCAGGCCCTAACTGCGTCTACTTGCTCAGTCCCAGCTCTGCCTGTTGCTCTAGCCCACAGGCTCCCTGCGGAGGGTCTGGGCTTGGCGGAGGACCCAGAATGGCACTGAGGCCAGCATGGCTGTGGGAGTTGAGCAAACCCTGGGTGCCAGTCCAGGAGCTGTGGCTGGACATGGGGTGATGGGGCGGGATGCTTGGGCCTGGGTCTCTCCGCCAGCAGTGCCAGGAGCCCTTGCTGGGGAAATCAAGACCAGACTAGGATGCTTCTGCCCCAGGCCTGCCTTCCATTCTTTAACAGCCCATCTTGGCTTGGGGTTGCAATGATGGCTGGGCCAGTCACTTGTGGCAGGGCATCAGGGCCCTGGCAGGGAAGAACCTAGGCACCTGGGGTTGTCCCCAGCCTGCCCGTCAGCATGAGATACCCAGTGGGAAAGTGAGAGGATGCGGAGAGGTTGGCAGAGCCAGGGGTAGGTTCTGGAGGCTCAAGCAACAAGGAGGTGCAGGTAAAGGGTGCAGTGCAGCCACTGAGGGACAGCTGGGAACTGGGGGATGCAAGTGAGAAAGGGATGTGGGGGAGAGTTCAGGATCAGGCTGCTTGAGGAGTAATGGGTTACCTACAGCAGAGACGAGATGGCTGTTTGTCAGGAGGCGGTAGAAAGGTAGAAAGGATTCAGATTGTGGAAGGGTAAACGGATGAGATGACCATTAAGGTTTTGTTTTACTGAGAGGCTGTAAGTCTGCCAGGGACAGCTGTCAGTAAGGCTGCAGAAGGGCTGGGGGGCTACACAAGGAAGAGCAGAACTAGGGTTGTAAGCTCAAATGACGAGCAAACGGTGAGAAGGAGGCCTGAAGGGCTGTGTGGGGACTATGGCTACCTGAAGAGGGCACACCCTGTTAAAGGGGCCACAGCTGCTCAGCTGTTCTTACAGTGCCGGCCCTGTGTTGCCAGATTGTCTGCTTTGTCAGAGGCCAGAATTCTGACTTTTTATGTGAAATAGGATTTTTAAATGCTGGTGATCACTTAAAAAAAACTTAAAAACCCAATACTGGCAAAAGAGGATGCCAGTTTGCAATCCCTGAAGTAGAGAGAGCTCGTGCTGGGGAGAAGTCCACCAAGATGCTTTGAGGCGGGCTGTAGCAAAGTCCTGTTTCTCAGAGCTGGGCTGGGCTGGGGTAGGATCCTTGCAGCTGAGGAGGAGGAAAAGCCACTGAGTCTCCTCCCAGAGCGGGACAAACCAGAGGCCCTTTGCAGTTGCTGGGTCACCAGCGGGGGTGGCGCATGGAGTACAGACAGTGTAGCTCTTGGCCTGCCAGGGAGACGGATGGTGCCTTTGAAGCAAAGAGGAAGGGAAGGCAGAACCAGGGATGCCTTTGCTGATGAGAGTGCCTGTCAGGGAAGGCGCCACAGGCTGGCAGCTCTTCAAACCAGCAGCGCTTGACCCAGAGCCAGATCCAGCATGGCCTGGCCAGAGGCACCCTGGGAGGCCAGCTGGTCAGTCCCTTGCCTCCCCAAGTTCCCCCTGGGGTCAATGAGCCCTGGGAGGATGCCTAACCTAACTCCAGCCAGACTAATAGGGGCATGGTGACCCTTGACTCACCATCCCATCCCAGCTTTCAGGGAGTGGGGGTAGTGTGGTCTCCATGTTCCTACTATGCCTAAGAAGAGATGGCTCACCTTGGGAGGTGCCAGGCTGAAACTAGGTCCTTTCCGGGTCTGGATGCTGCCGCTCAGGAGCAGGGGCGTGGCCTCAGCTGCCTCTGGGAGCTTCCCGGGAATGACAGGGTTTGAGGGGAGTAGATATGAGAGGGAGCCGCTCCTGGTTCTGGAGTCTTAGGAGGTTCCAACTTGCAGGATCCTTTCCCAGAGCCCTCCATGGAGAAAACAGCAAAATGAAGCCCTTACCTGCTTGCTGTCTGCAAGGGAGGGAGCCGAGCCCCAGCTGATAATCCCCCAGCACTCACCCTTCCTGAGCTGAGACTTCGGGGCTGTGGAGACCAGCACAGGACATAGTGGTGCTTTTTAAATTTATTTTTAACTGTTTCTCATATGTAGCAACCCCTCCTCCCCTCCTGGGCATGTTTACACAGGCTCTGCTCTGGGGGCTGGCCTGGCTGTGAGGTTTCTGGGGAGGCAGAGAGGCAGGGACTTTGGGGCCTTAGTCACCATCCATGGTATCACCTCATCTCACTTCCTGTGAGGGACAGGGCCTGGCTGATGTGATCCCAGCTCCCCCCAGTTCAGGACTGTCTTTCAGCTCCTTTGCCCCTGGAGGTGGGGGCTGCTGGCTGAGGAGGGGTCAAGGTGAGTTCAAGAAAGCTACCTGTGGAAAATGGACCAGGTTGGGGGGGTGATTGCAAAGTCTCCCCAAAGCCTGGCTCCTCATGCTCAGTGCCAGGGGCAGAACACTGGGGAGCCAGGTATAGAGAGCCTTCCTGTCATAACTGCCAGTCCTCTTCCTCCAAGGCCTCTGCATATTCTCATGTTCCCCTCACCCATCATGCCAGCCACCCCTATCCCTCTTCTAGCAGGGCCAAGATGGGGACAGCAGCAGCCCTCTGGCCTTGGGATGTGATGATAAAGCAAGCCTAGGGCCAGGGTTTGGGGAGCAGAGAGAGCCAAGAAGTTGACCACGTGTGATTTCCAGCCCTTCCCACTGGGACTTGACTTCCCAGGTCAAGGAGTCCGTCTCATTCTGGCTGGTCGAGTGACCAGAGGCCTGTGTGAATGTGTGCACCTGCTTTTCCTGCCTGGAATGTTTTCTGGCTCAGCTGCAGCAACATCTGTGAGCCCAGTGTCTGCCCTGTGTCCCTGGGCTCGCTCCAAGTGCAGGAACATACATGCAGGGCCCAACATGATGATGGTGTGAAGGGCAGGAAACAGTCCTCTGAAGGAGTGGGGAGGTGGGCAGTCTGCCCCCGCCAGGTACCATCGCCTCCTGCCAGCTTCCTTAGACCAGGCAGGGCTGCCATGGTGCTAGCTGCAAGTCCATCAGTATTGACCGTCTCGCTCCATCTTGGTCCTCCGGAGTCCCAAGTTTCCTTTTCATCAAATCTGACAAGAGAGAAGAAACATGGGTGTGCTTGGCCCACAGGGCCTGGTGGTGATGGACCTCCCCGCTCCCTCAAGCTCTGGATGGCTGCAGTGTTGTACTAGACTTTGTTCAGGCTGTTCTCATCTCAGTATTGCCCCTTCCTTTCACTTTCACACTTCATCTCATTCCTGTTGTCACTTTCCCCGAAACGAATAAAGTCTCCCCAGCTCCTGCTGTGTAGGCTGGGCAGAAACCACAACACGTAAGCCTTGTCTCCTTTCCTTTGGAGCTGGGGCCCGAGCCCTCCCCCAGCCCAGCGGCATTAGCCCCATTGGCTCTGGGAAGAGCCTGACCTGAGGTGAGCCTGAAGCCAGGGAACAGGAAACCTCCCAGCGCCTGCAGTCATGATGAAACTTCTGGGGTTCCAGACTTCCTCAGCCTGCTGAAGCCCCTCAGGCCTTGTTAACCCTGATCTGTGAGCAGTGCTTTCCCCCTCTTCACACAGTGGGCCTGGCCTCCAGAGGCTCAAGTTAGCACCCAGGATGTATTCCAGGACCCTGCTCTTCCAGTCTCAGTCCACAGCAGTCCATCAGGAGCAAAGGAGAAATGGGGCATGTTCTCCTGGGAGATGAGTGTAGCTCAGGAAACCGTAGCAACCTTCTCATCACTTGACATCCAGAACCCATGGGGTGGAAAACACTTCGGGTCCCATCCGTCACCCCCCACTCTTCCTCTCTGTTGTCCCTCCAGCTCTGGACCTCTTCCCACACTTTCAGACAAGCCCAAACAGTTGAAACCAGACTTGCACAGAAAATATCTTTTGGATTTCACAGCATATTTCACCCATAACCCTTCCTGCCCTTGTCTCAGCTCTCCTTTCATTCAGCTTAAGGGTAAAACCCAGACCTGTGAGAGAGGAAACAGTGTATTTCTTACTTTTCATCCCAGCCAGTCCCCACAAGATCGTGGCTAGAAGTGTAGCTTCGCACCGCCAAGACCCCCTCATTTTCAGTGGTGTGGTAGTGACCAGGGGAGGAGGAGGCATGGCAGCAGGAAAAGGAGAGGTGACCCGCAGGAATCCATAGACATCTGGGACTGTACACCAGTAAACGGAGGCAGTTTTGTTACAGGCTCCTTTAAATCCAGCTAAAGCATTACCCAAAAAAAGCACTTCAAAGTAACCAGAATTTATGAATACCTTGCATTGCACACCCTTTCATAGACGCAGTGTTGTAATTTTCATATTTAAGTCCAGCTGATATGATACCAAGTAAAGGGCCTCAGGCTTCAACAAGACAGGTTCATACACAGTGGGGCCCCTGGCCTGCTCTTGTACAAATGAGGGGCTGGGTAAGTAAGTGCTGGGGTGAGAATCTACGTAATGAGTCAGGTAGGCTCTTTGTGGACACTGGCCATTTTCTTAGAAAGCAGAAGGAAATGTCATTGCAGACTCCTGGAGGATCAGAACCCGACCTGCTTGGGGGTGGAAGGGGTTACCTCATTTCCTGCTGTCCCATTCCTCAGGCTCACAGCACGCACCTGCCTAATTTAGGCACCTGACTAACTGGGTTAGACCTTTGGGTGCAGGTGGCCCTTCTCAGAGGCCTGACGATGAAGGGGTTGAAGCTCTGCTGCCCCATTTACCAGGAGCTGGCATTTGGACCACTACCGTGGAGGTAGTGACAGGAAGCAGTCATACCAAGAACCAAGCAGAATGGCCCAGAAGCAGGCTGCCTGTAACCCTTAGTGTCTGCCAGCAAGGTGAGGGGACCAGCTGTTGAGGCCTGGCAGAAGATGAGGAGAGGCCACGTCAGGTCAGCTGGCAGGTCACCTCTCTGAGCCCCGTCCAAATGACAATGTGCACACAGATATACAAACTTTTTCCAACCCTGAGCCTGAAAGGACTTGGTTGTTGGAAGCACAAAACCTCCAAGAATTTTAAGTGTAGGCTCTGTTCTCTCCACAGCGAGCTGAGGCTTCAGGCCTTAGGGTCATAGGAGCTGACTGGGGATGGGACAGAAGTGCAGAGTTCCCTCCACAACCCATGAAGTCCACATTCTCTTGCTTCCAGCAGATCTGCACCCTCACCACCATGCTGCCATCTGGCTGGCCCATACCTGGAACAGTCTTGTCTAGCACATTTGCTCAGGAGGGAGAGGAGAGGGGATGGACCAGAGTGATGGGAGCCCAGGGCTGCAGGGCAGCTCCCCCTGGTGGACCCTAGAGGTGGCCCCTCCCACTCCTGGGAGAAGAGAAGCCACACTGTGCATTTCGCAGCCAATCAAAACACAACCCTCCAATAGAGGGCGGAATGGGGTTACCAGAAGCTGGGAAAAGCAGGGGAGGAGAATGAAGAGCAGGTGGATGGTACAAAAATATGGTGAGGACTAAGTTCTAGTATTTGATAGTACAGTAGGGAGACTATAGTTAACAATTTATTGTATATTTCAAAATAGCTAGAAGAATTGGAATGTTCCCAGCACAAGGAAAAGATAAATGCTTGAGGTGATAAATGTCCTTAAATATCCTGACTGGTCATTACACTTTGTACGCATGTATCAAAATACCATATGCAGCCCCAAAATATGTACAACTATCACATGTCAATTTTAAAAAGGAAAAACAAAACAACCAGAACATTCCTCTAGTTAGTAGCTACAACAGGGCAGGAACTGGAGAGAAAAACAAAACAAAAAAAGCAGCAGCCTCCTGACTGGCCATTTCCCTTCTTGGTCTCCAGTTAAAAGCTGCCTCTGAGCTCCCCCAGCCCCAGGCCCCCACCACCAGCCTCTGCCTTCCAAGATAACCTGTCTTGCCTGATCCTGGAAAGGCTTGTGAGAAACTTGGGGTGGTAAGAAATAAACCAAAGGAGATTCTCAAATTCTATCTCTGGGATTTCTGTTTCCTCAGGTGTAAAGGTAGAATCTGAACACCACCTAAACTGCCACCACACAGTGCCACTGTCTTTGCTAGCTGACGTGGAAGTACTGTGCAAACTTAACAGAAGTGCTGTGGAGATGCTAACTGACTGAGGCAACTAGGAGGAACCCTCCCTGCCAGGAAGAGGTTCTTGGGGATATACCTCAAAGCTTAGGGCTTTCAAATACTTCCTAGCCAATGGGCCCAACTGTCCAGCCTGGCTGGGGTAACGATCTACTCCCAACTCCTACCAATAATTCTCTGGAATTCTTAGCACCTTTTTCTTGCCAAAGCCCAAACAAAGCAATTTCAGATCTGAAAATTCTTCACAAGTAGAAGTGATTATTAACTTTAATTTCTATTTCACCAAGGAATGTGAACTGAAATACAGAGAGGTTAAGTAACTTACCTACAGTCACCAGCTGAACAGGCCAAGAGGACAAATGATGTTTCTAATTCCTAGCTGAGTTTTCTTTCTTTTCTTTTCTTTTCTTTTTTTTTTTTTGAGATGGAGTTTCACTCTTGTTGTCCAGGCTGGAGTGCAATGGCATGATCTCGGCTCACCACAACCTCCGCTTCCCAGGTTCAAGCAATTCTCCTGCCTCAGCCTCCAAGTAGCTGGGATTACAGGCATGCGCCATCACGCCCGGCTAATTTTGTATTTTTAGTAGAGACGGGATTTCTTCATGTTGGTCAGGCTGGTCTGGAACTCTCGACCTCAGGTGATCCACCCGCCTCAGCCTCCCAAAGTGCTGGGATTACAGGTGTGAGCCACCGCACCCGGCCGCTAAGTTTTCTTTTTACTAAATCAATTGAGGGGATCGCAACCCAGGTAGTGCAATGGAAGCAACCAAGTGGCTTTAAATCAATCAGATTCTCAGAGACTGATTCAGAGGCCTGGTGTGGGTTCTGGGAACCTGTTCAGGTAAGACAGAAAACCAGATCTGGTTTCAGGGCTCCCAGTGGGCATGTGGGCTTGGCTGGTCTTACTACATAGGGAGGTTGGAAGACAAAAGCACCAACAGAGGTAGGCCTAGGAAGGAAGAGACATTTTTCCAGCGACAGATGGCCCACTGCTCAGCCCTGGCTCCAGAATGCAAAAGAGATCAGAAATAGATGCTCAGCAAGAGGCATGTGCCACCCGCATCATGTCTCATGCAGCTGCCATAGCTTTAATCAGGAAAACACACATCTTATCCCACTTTGCACAGACCCTCCTGAAGTGCAGAAGATACTAGGAGGAGGCATGGGGGGAGCAGATGGAGGAAGAATGAAAAGCAGTCCAAAGAATCATTCTCTCACTTGGGAAGGACAGAAGAAAGCTGTACCCCAGCAGTGTCAAGGCAGGAGGCTTCACTCAAGCCCTGTTCCTCCCAGGCCTCACAGCAGTGGGAATTTACCTCAGCTAATAGAGGGAGATCTTACAACACATTTCTCAATCTAGATTCATGTCTTGAGACCCCACCCCAAGATCAAAAGCTCCTTAGTCTCTTCCTCTGCCCACCTCATTCTTCAGGCCCTCTCTCAAGGACCTAATCCCTTCAGGATCCTAATAAAATGAACAACATTGGGGGGAAAAAAGGTAAACCTTTATTTGGAAAAAGAGTTTAAATAACAATTTAAAACCCCATTTCACTTTCAAAACAGAAACAAGAAAGCAAGGAAAAGATAATCTATCAAGCATCTGCCCTCTGCTGTGGTTAGCCATTTTAAAGCTGCATTTCCCAGCAGAAGAGAACAGTGATGGGCCCTAGTCCTAGGAACCCACAGGGCACTGTCTTGAGACCCTTTTAGGCAGTGTCCAGGGAACAGACAGACAGAATGAATGGTGGGGTGTAGACAGACCTGGGGCTCAGACAGGCACATGCCCAGTACCCAGGAAACAAAGTTTGAAAATATATACACATAGAAAAATAAATTCCCTAGAACCTAGGCATGGAAAGCTTCTAACCATGAATGCAGCAGCACAATGCAAACTGGGTCTTTGGCTTTCAAAAAAAGGAAAGAACCTTAACCCCTGGCTTACTGTCCCGAACTCAAGTCTCTTGACCACTGTCTTCAGTCCCACTTTGGAGGTCGAGTGAGGCAAGAGCAAGTCAAATCTACCAGGGCCAGCAGCCACTCTGACTTAGGGAGATGTGTGGAGGGGCTGGCCCAGGATCTCCCAAGGCCACACCCCAGCAATGAAAGATTAAGGCATGCAGGTGACACAGTGTGGACTAAGGAGTCCCCTGAATAAGCCAGGGTACCCTTCTGTTAGGGGAGGGAAAGCAGACGCAACAAGCAGCTGAGGCCTTGCTGGACAGAGCCAATCCGCAAGTACTGCCACTTCAAATTCTTGGACCAGTTTTGTCCAAGGCCACCTTTCTGCTGAGGCAGTTTGGCCTGAGCTAAATACCAGGGTTTTCTAGAAAGGAAATGGAAGGGAAGCGGGAGATGGGAGATAGCAGAAAGTAAAAAGTGGTGGAAGGAGAGGAACAGAAAATTGCTTCTTAGGAGTGGAGAGGAAAGAGAATCAGCTTAGGTCTTCAGTCCCAGCTGAGGCAGCTGAAGAGTCTACCTGCTCCTTCCCCTACTGGAACTCCTACCCTTGCCCCAGTTCTGCAGGCTGCAGAGTCCAGTGAAACAAGAGTTTCCTGAAGACTCTTTCTCCTCCTAATCCTTAAATAGTTTTAAACCTCATACCACTACCCTAGCCCAATGAACCCCACATAAGGGTTCAAACTTCCGCCTCCCTCAGGGAAGCCTGGGGAAAGGGATGGCCCTTGTGAAATTACACCAGGTCTGTGGGGAGCTCTGGGTTGGAGGCACAGGGCCAGCTGGGACAGGTAGCGCATCCCCCAAAATTTGCCACTCCAGGATGTGGGCCCCATTTGTTCCCAGAGCCCAGACGCCGGGCCTGCCCTGGTTGGCAGGATGAATGCCTAATGAAACACAGAGGCTAAAAGGAGAGATGGGGCCATGCCCTGCTGCTGCCTGCTCATACATAGGTACTTGGGTAGACTCTGAACCTGCCCCAGGCCTACAGCCCCAACATGAAAAGTGGACTGGTCAGAGGCAGGCATGGCTGTGCAGAAGTCTCACCCCAAGAGGACACATACATGATATGCATATCTCACATATGCATGCCTGGCAAGAGGGCTGGGCCCAGAAGTCCTGAAGGCAGGGAAAAGGTCAGGTCAGAAGGTACATCAAGAAACGGCCTGAAAGCAAATAACCAATGAAATCAAGAACTCCCATAACCCTGGTAATTAAAAATCAAGGGGGAGCGCTGGATACATGGAAGGAAGGGGGAGCCCCCCTTCTGCCTCTCCCAGGGCCACTGAGTGTGTGGCACAGGATTAGGAAGAGGCTGGGGTGGGGCAAGGACCACAGGCAGAGAACGCAGCCAGGCCTGGAGAAAGTCTAACCGTGGGAAAAAGGGAACGAGGAGGGGGAAGGGAGGGGATGTAAGTTTCTTGGATCTAAGTTTCTAGATGCATGGGATTTTTCCACAGTCTCTGATCCAGTGAGCTCTTCTGGAAGAGAAGCTCTCTTCCCCTGGGAGCCCTGTCATGGGGCGGTGACTTCCATCCCGAAGCTGGCTAGCAGGCAGAGGTGGTCTGAAGAGCAGAAGGGGTTGGGTAAGCCATTGGCAGCCCAGAGTATCTCTTCAGAGAGAAGGGAGAGACGACCCAGGAGCTTGAGAGTTCCATCTCGATACAGCCTGTGATCTGGGGCACAAAGCAGAAGCCAATGGGTAAAAGCAGCCGCAGCCACACTGCATGGGCAGGCAGTGGCAGAGTCCTTTGGGAACGCCTTCTGCAGGCTGCATCCCCTTGGCTGCCCACTGCCCCTCACCTCCTCTTGCAGCATCTGGCTGAGGAGGCCCCATTTTCTCAGAGATACTCCATAATATCATCAACGAATAAAGACAGGTGAGTTCCGGGGAACTGGGGCAAGCTGGAGAGCCCACCATTATAAGATCTTTTGATTTTCCAAGAGAAGCTAGAGATCCAGCTTTTCTATATAAAATCTGATTTTTTTTTTTTTTTTTTTAGATGGAGTCTTACTTCGTTGTCCAGGCTGGAGTGCAGTGGCGCAATCTCAGCTCACTGCAACCTCTGACCCCCGGGTTCAAGCGATTCTCCTGCCTCAGCCTCCTGAGTAGCTGGGATTATAGGTACCCGCCACCATGCCTGGCTAATTTTTTTTTTTTTTTTTTTTAAGACGGAGTTTTACGCTTGTTGCCCAGGCTGGAGTGCAGTGGCACGATCTCGGCTCACTGTAACCTCTGCCTCCCGAGTTCAAGCGATTCTCCTGCCTCAGCCTCCCAAGCAGCTGGGATTACAGACACCGTCACCACACCCGGCTAATTTTTTGTATTTTTAGTAGAGACGGGGTTTCATCATGTGGCCAGGCTGGTCTCACTCCTAACCTCAAGTGATCTACCCACCTCGGCCTCCCAGAGTGCTGGGATTACCGGTGTGAACCAGTAATACACGTGCCTGGCCATAACAGTAATACACATGCCTGGCCAAAAAGAAACATTCTTTACACAATACAGGCATGGGGCTGGGAGATTGCTATACTGTGCCCACTGGTATGGGGAGAGGAGACAGAAAATAAGGTCTCTTACCTAACCAAGTCCCTCATTCAGTGGCTGTCATTAAACAAACTCAACCAATTCCTAGATCTCTATTTTTACCTCTAAAATGGGGATTGGGAGTGACTGTCCTACCCTCCTCTCTTTAATGCTGCAAGGGTAAAAAGAGACAAGGCAGGCAAGTGGCCTATGGGGAGAATGATAAGGATGACCAGTGCAAGGGAGGTATGAAATCTGCTCCTTTGCTGGTTAAATCCCAGCAGCTGAAGACATGCTACCAAATGCCTGACCTACCATTAGCTGTTCCCAGGGACCTGGGGGTGGAGGAACCCAGGATCCATCAGGCTTACCAGTTCTGTTCCCATTCTCACAGGACTCAGCTGAGAAGAAGATGTAATCTACTGTCATTCCAAGACCCAATGGCATTGTAGTGACCTCTGGGCGGCCACGCTGGGGCAGGAAGTGGGTATATACTGACGTCAGGTGGAGGCAGTGCTGGATGGTACCTACAGTCCTACAGGGATGAAGGGGGAAACATTAGTTAACAAAAATTACTAAATTTTCCCTAGATCACTTTTTCTATGGGTTTTATGAAGATTTTTTAAAAGGATGATCTCAGATGACTCAATCTCAGCCAATTCCTCCCCATGCTAAGAAGGGGCTGGCAGTCTTAGCTAAAATTAGCCTAGAAACACACATTTGTACTGAGACTCCCTAACACTCCTAATCCCCCACTATCTGCTTGTTACCTGGTAAAGTATCCCCAATGTACCCCTGTCTGGGGCCCAGGCCTCTTCTGTGAGGCTTTACCCTCTGAGGAAAGAGTACATAGCCTTTTCACCTGCAGTAACATGGGTGGGTCACCTCTGGCTTCTGCATACCTACATAACCCTCTATAAGTTTAGCAGATATTAGGGGAAAAAGAGCTTATCAAAAAGTGCTCCCCCAAGTCAACCTCAGGACAACCAATGGGAATCTCTCTCTTACACCTAGGCAAGGGCTGGATTGAAAACAGAAGAGAACTGGAGAAGGTTACCTGGAGAAGGCAGGCTCAAGCTCCGATGCATCTTCCTCAAGGACAGACTCAGCCCAACCCGCAGGTCGCTCTGCAGAGGACCAGAGAGAAAAACATTTTCTCATCCACAGACAGTGAAGCAGGATCAGAACCTTTCACCCTAAAATCCCTCTCAGATCCTTGACTGGATTGCTTCAGAAGGATCCAGAAGGAGAAAGGGAGAAACAGTGAGGAGGAGAAGATGACCATAAACCAAAGTCAAGAACCTCAGAAAGCAGATGTAGGGCATCTAACACAGACATTGTCTTCTGTGGCTCCTCACCTTTGTTTTTCTTTAATTTGATTAAAAAAAAATAAGTCATATAGTCACATGGTACAAAATCAAAATGTAGCAAAAAGTATCAGTGAAGTTTCCCTCTCACTTGTCCTCCTCTGCCACTCAATTCCCCTCTCCAGAAGCCACCAATGTTACCAAATTCCTGGTATATTCCTTCAAAGACTTTCTATTACATACCATCCATTGTGTGTGTCTATGCATGTATGCATACATGTATATATACATACATATTACATATATGTATACATCTATAAGCACACACACACATACATATCATACACACGAATGTTAAAAAAGGAAGATACAAATTACCAATATCAGGAAAGAAAGAAGGGACATTAGTACAGATCCTACCAACATTAACAGGATAATAAGGATCAGCAACAACAGTGACAAGCCCTTAGCTAGACCAAGAAAACAGAATACTCAAATTACTAAAATCAGAAATGAAAGAGGGGCCATCACCACCAACCATTTAGAAATAAAAAATAACTATAAGTGAATGCTATAAATAACTGGATACCAACAAATTGGATAACTTATATAAAATTGAAAAATTCCTAGAAAGACACAAACTATGCACAATAACTCAAGAAAAAACTGAAAATCTGAATAGGCCTATAATAAATAAAGAGATTGAATCTGTAATTTTAAAACATCCCACAAAGAAAACACCAGGCTCAATGGCTTCACTGGTGAATTCCAGCAAACATTTCAAGAGGAATTCATACAAATCCTTCACAAACACTTCCAAAAAAAAGAGGAGACACTTCTCAACTCATTCTATGAGGCATTACTCTGACATCAAAACTAGATAAAATGTCACAACAAAAACTATAGACCAATATCCCTTATGAATACAGATGCAAAATTCCTCAATAAAATATCAGCAAACCAAATCCAGCAAAATATAAAATTATATACTATGACCAAATAAGATTTATCCTAGGAATGTAAGCATGGTTTAACATCTGAAAAATCATATAATGTGATATGTCGCAATAGAATACTTAAGTTTAAAAAAAAGCCACATGATTATCTAAACAGACAGAAGAAAAACATTTGACACACTCCAACACCCTTTCATGAGTTAAAAACACTCAAAAAACTAGGAATAGAAGAAAACTTTCTCAATCTGATAAAGAGAATCTATGAAAAACTCACAGCTAATATCATACTTAATGGTGAAAGACTGAACGCTTTACCCCTAAGATCAGGAACAAGGAAAGGGTGTCTGTTCTCACCTCTTCTATTTGACATTGTACCAAAAGTTTTAGTCAGAGTAATTATGAAAGAAAAAGAAATAAAAGGTATCCAGATTGGAGTAGAAGGAATACTATTTCTATTTGTAAGATGACATGATCTTATATAGAGAAAATCCTAAGAAATCCACTAAGAAACTATTAGAACTAATAAATGAATTCAGCAAGATTGCAGGTACACGATCAATACACAAAAATACTTCTATACACTAGCAATGAACAATCCAAATATGAAATAAAGAAAATTCCATCTACAATAGCATCAAAAATGAAATAATTAGGAAAAATTTAATAAAAAGTGTAGGCACACTAAAAATTACAAAACTTGGAAAGAAACTAAAGATCTAAATAAGGAAAACCAGCCCATGTTCATTGGCCATAAGACAATATTGTTAAAATGGCAATACTTCCCTAGGCAACAGACTGAGTCCTTGTCACAGAAAGGAAAGAAGGAAAGGAAAGGGGAGACGGGAAAGAGGAGAGGAGAAAGAGGAGAGGGGAAAGAGGAGAGGGGAGAGGAGGGGAGAGGGGATAAAAGGAAAGAGGAGAGGGGAGGAGGAGGAGGAGGGGAGGAGAAGGAAGAAGAGGGAGGAAAGGGGAGAGGAGGAGAAAAAGGAGGAGGAAAAAAGGAAAGGAAAGATTTGTAGATGCCTATCAAAATCCCAACTGGTTGGTTTTTTTGGTTTTTTTTTTTTTGTCTTTTTTTGCAGACACGGATATGATGATCCTAAATTTCATACGGGAATGCAAGAGACCCAGAAGAGACAAAAATCATCTTAAAAACAACAAAGTCAGAGGACTTACTCGTCCTTATTTCAAAAGTACAGTAATCTATCTTATCCATGGGGGATACATACCGAGTCCCCCAGCGGATGCCTGAAACAATGGATACTACCAAATCCTAAATATACTGTTTTTTTCCTAAACATACCTATGATAAAGCTGACTTTATAAATTATGTACAGTAAAAGATTAACAATAATAATAAAATAGAAAAATTATAACAATATATTGTAATAAGGTATGTGAATGTGGTCGCTCTCTCCCTCAAAGTATCTTAAGGTTTTTGAACCTCAGTTGACCAGGGGTAACTGAAACCAAAGAAGGCAAAATCACTGAGAAGGCGGACTACTATATACAAAACTATAGTAACCAAGACAGTGTGGTTCTGGCATAAGGACAGATACAGACAGGAAGGGAACAGAACTGAGAGTCCAGAAATCCATACATCTATGGTCAATTGATTTTTGACAAGGGGAGAAGTAAATGGAAAGTGACTCATGGGTGTAAGGTTTCGTTTGTGGGTGATGAAAATGTTCTAAAATTAGATCATGGTGATGGTCACACAACCCGGAATATACTAAAAGCCAATTAATTATACACTTAAAATGGGTGGATTTTATGACATGTGAATTTCATCTCAATAAAGCTGTTCAAAAAAAAGGATATGGGAATGTTACGAACAACTTCACGCCAATATATCTGATAATTTAGATGAAATGAAATACCCCTTTAGGCCAGGCGCAGTGGCTCACGCCTGTAATCCCAGCACTTTGGAAGGCTGGGGCGGACGCATCATGAGGTCAGGAGATCGAGACCATCCTGGCTAATACAGTGAAACCCCGTCTCTACTAAAAATACAAAAAATCAGCCAGGCGTGGTGGTGGGTGCCTGTAATCCCAGCTACTCGGGAGGCTGAGGCAGAAGAATCGCTTGAACATGGGAGGCAGAGGTTGCAGTGAGCCGAGATCATGCCACTGCACTCCAGCGTGGGCAACGGAGCGAGACTCCATCTCAAAAAAAAAAAAAAAAGAAAGGAATGCCCTTTTATATGCCTTATATTCTTCCTGTTAGATTTATTTCTATATTTTTTCTTTTTGTTGCTCTTACACAGTGTATTTTTTTCATTATATCTTTTAATAAACATGTATTTCTATATAGGAACACTACTAAGTTCTGCACATTAATTTTGTACCTATCTACCTTCCAGAATTATCTTAATGCTTAATGCTGCTTAGTTTATTCTCTTGGATTACCAGTTATAAAATAATATCATCAGCAAGTAATAATTTACCCCCTCCTTTCCATTTTTATCCTTCTATTTTGCTATATTTCTATTTTCTACTTCTAATTCTGTTGGCTGGTATCTCCAAACACAGTTAAATTATGATAGTCTTGTCCTTGTCTTGTTCCTAACTTTAACAGGAATGCTATTAGAGTTTTTTTCTTTAATCAAGATGCTGTTTGGAGTTGAAATAAATACATTTCAATGGTGTAGGAAATTATCCATTTTTTTCTTAAGAGGGTTCATTTTAAAAGAATCAAGAATAGATGTTGAATGTTAACAGATGTCTCTTCAACATCTATACAGAGGATGGCACAAGTTTCATGTATTTTAGATTTCACATATATATAAAATTATATTAATAGATATCCCAATATTGAACTATCCCTATACTTCTACTAAACTTCAGTTGGTCTATGGTATATTGGTCTTTCAATATGCTGCTAGATTTTGTTTCCTGATCTTCTATGTAAAATTTTTTGCATCAATATTCACAGGTGGAGAACATTAGAGTCTGCAGTTCTCTCTTTCTGTGTGTTTACTGTCAGGTGTCAGTGTCAATATTATACTTGTTTCATAAAAATAACCTGGCCCCTTTCTCTCTCTGTGCTTTGTAACAATTTAAACAATAATGGAAATATATGTTTTTTAAAGGTTTGAGGACATTCCCTATCAATCTGAGCCTGGTGTTTCTGAGGGACTGTATCTCTGAGAACTTTTCCTATTACTTTTCACCCCATGGTCATTAGTCTATTTAGACAATCTCCATGGGAATCAGTTTTAGTAAATTACATTTATATGCCATCCAAATTTTCCATTTCTTTTGCACTTAGTTGAGCAAAAACAACAAAAAACCCTTGTGATTCTTGATTCCGCTGCATCTGGATGCTTGTTCCTGCTCTTTTCCCACTTACATAGGTTAGCTAATGAGCTTCTTTAATCAACAGCTATTTTTCATCCAAGCAACCAACTCTTAAGAATTTATGAGTTCTTCCATTTTTCTGTTTTTAAAATTATTTCCATTTGAATCTTCTTTCCTTTTGCTTTCTTTCAGTTTCTTTCTTTTTTCTAATTTCTTGAATTGGGTGCTTAACTCACTTTCATCCCTTCATATCTATTAATATAACTCTATGATTCTAAATATTTTATGTAATTCTATGAATTTTTTCTTGAACACCATTTTAGCTATAACCAACAAATATAATGGTATTTTCATTATTGTTATTTTCTAGATATTCCACAATTTCCGTTTAAATTTTCCTCTTTGATCAAAAAGTTTTTTAAATGTCCAGTTCATAGTATTTTTTTTCTTTTTCTTTTTCTTTTTTTTTTTTTGAGATAGGGTCTCACTCTGTCACTCAGGCAGGGGTGTGATCACAGCTCACTGCAGCCTTGACCTTCCGGGCTCAAGTTATCCTTTTACCTTAGCCTCTCGGTAGCTGGGAGTATAGGCACATGCCACTACGCCAGGCTAATTTTTCTATTTTTCCATTTTGTGTAGAGACAGGGTTTTGCCACATTGCACAGGCTTATTTCGAACTCCAGGACTCAAGGGAATCACTTGCCTCAGTCTCCCAAAGTTCTGGATTACAGGCATGAGCCACTGTGCCCAGCTTTTCACTTTTAACTTATATGTTTATTGCATGTGCTTTATGATCTAACATATGATCAATTCCTAAGAATTTCCTATGAATACTTAAAAAGAAAATGTCTTCTCTGCTGTCAATGTTCGGTGTTTGATATATATGAATCAGATTTATCATCCGACATGTTACTTAGTTATTCTATATTCTTAGTCATCTTTTATCTACTTGATCTGCTGCAGACTCAGAAAGATCAATTAAAGCCTTCTACCTTTAGTTATTGTCTATTACTCCATGTTACAGCCTATGGTTTCACTTTGTGATTGTTGATGCAATGTTATTTGGAGCATAAACATTTTTAACACTAGTATCTTTAAGTTACATCCTTTGTCATTACAATATGCCACACACACACACACACAAAATCACAGTGACCTGCAGGATCTTAAACATGATTTCCCTAGACACCATTCTTACCATGCAGCACTGTGAACAAACAGCACTGCTCTGGCAGTTATACAGGACTCAAGGCTTCCACCTACTCTGCTCCAGGTCACATAAGCTGCTACCTCTACATGAGCTACAGCCTCTTCCTGGGCCCATTCAGCAATAGTAGCAGCCACGCATGCAAGTTCCTCTGCAAGAACTTGGGAAGAGGATCCTCAGTTGTATCACACAACAGCCAGTAAAGAAGCTGGATTTAGGACTTTCCTGCTCTTTATGATGTTAGTTGTAGGCTTGTTAAAAAACAAACAAGCTAAAAAGAACTTTTCTGCTTAGAAAACTGACCAGATAGGCCAGACACAGTGGCTCACACCTGTAATCCTAGCACTTTGGGAGGCCGAAGCCGGGGGATCACTTGAGGCCAGGATTCAAGACCAGCCTGGCCAACATGGTGAAACCCTATCTCTACTAAGACTACAAAAAATTAGCTGGGTGTGGTGGCATGCACCTGTAATCCCAGCTACTCAGGAGGCTGAGGCAGGAGAATCACTTGAACCCAGGAGACAGAGATTGCAGTGAGCTGAGATCGCGCCAATGCACTCCAGCCCGGGTGACAGAGTGAGACTCCGTCTCGAAAAAAAAAGAAAACTGACCAGATAGCCTTAGCCTTTGCTGTGTGACTGTGTGAAAGAGAACTGACCAGATAGCCTTAGCCTTTGCTGTGTGACTGTGTGACCTTCCGGTCAGTTTGTTAACTAGGAGTTTACAAAAATCGCCCATTAGCAATTGCCTTTTCTGTAATGTGCTAAATTGTGCACATGGTTTGCTCTTACTTGTTAAAAGACTTAAAGCCCCAAGATTCAGTGTAATGTGCCAGTGTCTATGAGAAAGAAAACACAGTAATTCCTTTTAATGTCTGCTATGGTCTAAATGTTTGTGTCCCCACAATCAAATTCATATGTTGAAATCCTAACCCCCACGGTGATGAAGTGGCACCTTGGGAGGTGATTAGGTCACAAGTGTGGAGTCCTCATGGATAGGATTAGTGCTCTTATAAAAGATGCCCAAGAGACCCCTTTCCTCTTCCTCTTCTACCACTGAGAAGATGATGCTCATGAACCAGGAACCAGGCCCTCACCAGACACTAAATTTGCCAGTGCCTTTGTTTTTTTTTTTTTTAAAGACAGGGTCTCTGTTGCCCAGGCGGGAGTGCAGTAGGGCAATCATAACTCACTGTAACTTCAAACTTCTGGGCTCAAGTGATCCTCCCACCTCAGCCTCCTGAGTAGCTAAGGCTACAGTCGCATGCCACCACGCCCAGCTAATCTTTTTGAATTTTCTGTAGAGATGGGGTTTTGCTATGTTGCTCAGGCTGGTCTCAAACTCCTGGCCTCAAGTAATCCTTCCACCTCAGCCTTCCAAAGTACTGGGATTACAGGTGTGAACCACTGTACCCAGCCTCTGCCAGTGCCTTGCTCTTCAACTTCCTGGCCTCCAGAACCATGAGAAATAAATTTCTATTGTTTAAAAGCTATCCAGTTTATGGTATCTTGTTACAGCAGCCCAAATGGACTAAGACAATATCTTTAAGAACCATACTGGAAAAAAGAAATCATTTATAATAGAAATGCTGACAATGAGGGAGACTTAAAAATTAAATACCCTTTTTACAAATTATTCCATTACAAAGGGGGTTGGGAGCTGGGCCTGGTGGTTCACACCTGTAATCCCAGCACTTTGGGAGGCCGAGGTGGGTGGATCATTTGAGGCCAGGAGTTCAAGACCAGCCTGGCCAACGTGGTGAAACCCCGTTTCTACTAAAAATACAAAAACTAGCTGGGCATGGTGTCGCATGTCTGTAATCCCAGCTACTGGGGAGGCTGAGGCACGAGAATTGCCTGAACCCGGGGGCAAAGGCTGCAGTAAGCCAAGACTGTGTCACGGCACTCTAGCCTGAGTGATAGAGTGAGACTCTGTCTCAAAAAAAAAAAAAAAAAAACAAAGGGAGTTGGAAATAGTAAGAATCACAATGTATTTTATTATACACATTGGATGGCACAGAATGCTCCAGTACAATGCAATGTCAGCTTATGGGAAAATCAAACCATCACTACCTAGCACTGAATCTTCCTTTGTACTCAGAGGCTCCCCATTCAAGCTAGTGTCACAGTTAAGTTGTCATGGTTTGAAATGCACAGTTGGGTTGGATGATTCTGGTACTGAACTGGAAATATTGTTAGCATATCTAATCAGAGCCTCTAGAAAAATGAACTCACACACTAAGATCTCGTTGTACTCCATTCATGGCCTCCTTTTTTTTTTTTTTTTTTTTTTTTTTTTTTTTTGAGACACAGTCTTGCTCTGTCGCCCAGGCTGGAGTACAGCGGTGTAATCTCGGCTCACTGCAAGCTCTGCCTCCCGCGTTCACACCATTCTCCTGCCTCAGCCTCCCGAGTAGCTGGGACTACAGGCGCCCGCCACCACACCTGGCTAATCTTTTGTATTTTTAGTAGAGACAGGGTTTCACCATGTTAGCCAAGATGGTCTCGATCTCCTGACCTCATGATCCGCCCGCCTCAGCCTCCCAAAGTGCTGGGATTACAGGCGTGAGCCACCGCGCCCGGCCCATTCATGGCCCTTTTAAAATAAAGATAGTTGGCTGGGCATGGTGGCTCACTCCTGTAATTCTAGCACTTTGAGAGGTCGAGCCAGGAGGATGGCTTGAGCTCAAGAGTTCGGGACCAGCCTGGGCAAGATGGTGAAACCCAGTCTCTACAAAATACAAAAATTAGCTGGGCATGGTATCATGTGCCTATAGTCCCAGCTACTCGGAAGGTTGAGGTGGGAGGATCACACGAGCCTAGGAGATCAAGGCTACACAGTGAGCCATGACTGTACCACTGCACTCCAGCCTGGGTGAAACAGTGAGACTCTGTCATGAAAAAAAAAAAAAAAAAAATTAGATTTGAGATTCATCAAGAGCCTGTTCAGCCCTGGGTAGGAGCATTGAACAAATAGAAGGGTACATTCAAAGTATGTGGAGAATAAGTATGTTTACCCAAATCTAATCTCAATTTTGAAAATACTGTTATTTTGCACCGCTGGTGAACTGGCTACTTTGCCCCTATAGAATGAGTCTTTTCTACCTACAAAGTGATTGTCAGTATATATTTTAAAGGTCTTGGTTTAATTTTGTTACTATTTATTTTATGTTTCATTCAAGTACATCACTGATTTAAATAACCTATTCTTACTATGAAATTATCTAAGTGAGATCCTGTTACTGTTTTTATAATCCTAAATCACTGAGCTACGGCTCCCCTGGCTGAACCTGACTGACACAGAATTTACTTAACCCAATTCCTGCTACCTGCTGGTTCACTCAATACAGGGTGGCCATCATTGTTATCACTATTGCTACTGCCATAGCTGTAATAATACTTTGACTTTGCAATTAAAATAAACTGGGCCACTGACATATTTGTTGCTCTGTGCAAAATGCCAATTCAAGTTAAATTCTTACAAGAAGAGAATAAATTCAGTGTTCATCAGCAGTCCTTTCACTATAGTTTTCCCAGCCATTGCCTTCAGTTACTCCTCTAGCAGTTTCTTGAAGAAATGTTGTTAGTTGAGTATAATATTCTTGAACTATATATCCTTTCCTAGAAACCTTAATCCACTGTCTTCTAGAGTTGGATGTCAATATTAAGAAGTCCGAAGTCTTCTGAGTGCACTGGCTCACACCTGTAATCCCAGCACTTTGGGAGGATGAGGTGGGCAGATCTCCTGAGGTCAGGAGTTTGAGACCAGCCCGGCCAACATGGTGAAACCCTGTCTCTACTAAAAATACAAAAAAATTAGCCGTGCATGCTGGCGCATGCCCAGAGCCCCAGCTATTGGGGAGGCTGAGGCAGGAGAATTACTCAAACCCAGGAGGCAGATGTTGCAGTGAGGCACGATCACACCACTACACTCCAGTCTGGATGACAAAGCAAGACTTTGTCTCAAAAAAAAAAAAAAGTCTGAGGTCAACCTCATCACCGTTAGGCTTCAAAGTACCTCAATCTTTTAACTGCCCAAAAGATTCTTTCATCTTTGACTTCTAGGAACCTCACTGGAATGTCTTAGTATTAATTCTCCTACATCTTTTTTTTTTTTTTTTGAGACACAGTCTCACTCTGTCACCCAAGCTGGAGTGCAATGGTACGAACATGGCTCACTGCAGCCTTGACCTTCTGGGCTCAAGCAATCCTCTTGCCTCAGCCTCCTGTGTAGCTAGGACCACAGGCATGCATCACCATGCCTGGCTAATTTTTTGATTTTTTTGTAGAGACGGTGTCTCACTTTGTTGCCCAGGCTGGTCTCAAACTCCTGGGCTCAAGCAATCCTTCTGCCTTGGTCTCCCAAGATGCTGGGACTATAGGTGTGAGCCAGGGTGCCTGGCTCCTGTATCATTTTTTACTGAGACACATGTCTTCTCGATCTGAAAATTCACATCTTTTCGTTTTGGGAAAATCTTTCTTGGATAATTATCTTTAAATATTTCTTCTGTGTTATTATATTATAGGCTTTCTTCTTTGGGAACTCCAATTATGTATAAGTTAAATCTCCTTTATCTTTCACTACTGTCATTTTCTCTCTAATCCTTTCTAACCTTTAACTTCTCACTGTTTTTTTTATTTGTTTTGTTTGGATTTCCTTACCTTGTTTTCCACAGTTATCTATTCCTACTTGTGCTGCATACAATTTTGTCTTTATTTTTTGTAATGTTTTTATTTTTTATTCCACTTCTTTTCTGAGCTCTGCAGCTTACATTTCATCTTCTGATGTCTTGCCACATGCCTGAACTTATTTTATAAAGGCAGCCATTTTATTTTTGTGCTCTTTCTTTCATAAAGACAATTTCTTGGCCCAGCGCGGTGGCTCACGCCTGTAATCCTAGCACTTTGGGAGGCCAAGGCAGGCAGACTGCCTGAGGTCAGGAGTTCGAGACCAGCCTGGACAACATAGTGAAACCCCTGTCTCTACTAAAATACAAAAAAAGAAAAAAAAAAAATTAGCCAGGCGTGGCAGCATGTGCCTGCAGTCCCAGCTACTCGGGAGGCTGAGGCAAGAGAATTGCTTGAACCCAGGAGGCAGAGGTTGTAGTGAGCCGAGATGGTGCCACTGCACTCCAGCCTGGTGACAGAGTGAGACTCTATCTCAAAAAAAAATAAAATAAAATAAAAAATAAAGACAATTTCTTTATTCATGAGAAAGTAATCGTAATTTCTATGAGCTCCATGGCAATTATTTTTATCTTTGAAGTTAAACATTCTTTATCTGCCTTTTATTTTTCTGTTCCTTTTTTCTTGCAGTATTTTAGCACAGATTCCATGCTTTTCCTTTTTTGACAACCAGCTTTGAATTAGTTAAGGTTTTTCTGCACCAGCTATTTGTACAAAGTTTATATAAGGGAAGGACTGGGTATTTCAAGTAACGGGAATTTTCTTTTTGACACAGGGTTATGTCAGCATCCTTTTAAATCTTTCTCTCTCCCAAGCCAAAAGAGATAGGCAGCTCTACAAGTATCTCATCTACCCTCTCTACCACTTGAACAGATTGCTTAATGGAAATATGGCTTGATCCTTGATCAGTCCCTCCTCCACTGCCTCTTAGGATCAAAACGGGTCCAGAGACTCTCCTATCATGACCTGTGCTTTCTACTCTTGTTGAAAAAAAAAAAAGGGATTTGGGTTTTATGCTCCACATGGAAAAAAGTACTCAGCTAGTTCTGAGATCCACATATCCCCACAGATAAGTCTCTCTATACTTCCTCTAGCACCCCTGCACGATCTCCAGTGCTTCTTGCAGGCATTCCTTCTGTGTTGTGGTTCTTGGTGTCAGATATCTTCAAATTTCCCAGTTTTGTCTACAATGGAGTTTACATTTCTTTTTTCCATTCTCCTTGTTGCTTTGAAGTGGTTTCAGAGACAAGAAGGGGAGAATGTCAAGTATACTCTGCTATATTCAATCTGAAATTTCTCAGTAGGAACAACTTTTATTAAAATCAGAACCACTGTCACCTTATGATTTTCAAAGCCCCATCATGTGTAACTTCTCCCCTATATATGCTGTACACATGCTAGTCATTAGCAACTTAAGCTTAAAAAGGTTAAATGGCTTACCCAAGCTCTCAAAGCTAGTTACAACCCAGGTGTCTTGATTCCTGGTCCGGCACTCTTATCACACTGCACATCCATGCAATGGCCACTGAACTCAACTAACCTTCCTTCTAAATATACGTATTACCAGAAGCTAATCTCTAAGAATTATACTTAGAAAAGAGCAGGAAACCACATAACTGACCAATATCAGGAATGAGGAAGAAAGAAGACCAAGAAACTGGGATTAGTTCCCATTACCTGGCTTAGTATCTGTCACTCCTTCCATAAGGACCAGTCCTACTGGTCGCTGACAAGCGATGCTGCAGAAGCGGAAACGTAGCAGGAAGTCTCGGCCATACTTGCGTCTCTCTGTAAACCAGGAAAAGACATATAGTGAAAGAAAGACGATGAAGCCACATGCTGAGACCTCCTTAGTACCAAGCAACTTCCAGCATAGGTACACAGAGGAAGCATTCAGAAGACAAGGAGATTTTCCAAAGGCTATGATTTAAAGTTGTCCATTTCATTGGACAGCCATTGGGAGGATAGTGAGAAAACAGAGGAATCTGCTAAGAGAAATGAGGGATTACACTTTTTCTTGTCGTTGAGACACCAGCTTTCTCCCAAAATGGGCATGAAGACACAGCCAACCAAGAATGTGACATGTGCTCACCTGATCTCTTGGGGTGACAGGAGGTGACATACTGACAGCAATCAGTGATGCCCAGGGAGCTGGGCCACAGTGGGGCCTGCAGCTTCCTCTGGTAAAGCTGATGGGAGAAGTCTTCCTGTCCAGATACCTGGGTGGAAAAAGAAGGGTGGGAATAAGGAAACCAAGATAGAAAAAGGAAGTAACAGCCCATGTTTTGGGACATGTGGACAAATACAAACACATACAATCACACACTACGTACATGGTATAAACAAGCATATAAGTCTCAGGGGCAGGTTAAAAATAAGGACCAAATTAAAACCATTACTTTTTCACTGGCAACACTGAAATGTCCATGAAACAGGAGGAGGGGTAAGAGACTGAATCAAGGGGAATCGAATAGTATGAACATGTGGTTCCCTAAATTTTACCTCTGAAAAATCAATACAATTCTCCTCCACAGGGAATATCAACTCTCAGGGGCTTTAAGTTGCAATGGTTAAAGGTTTATCCTCATCTTTGGATCTTCTGGATCAAGGTCTAATATCCTGAACCTATTACTGGGTAACCACAGGGTCAAACCAAATGGGAAAGCACCAAAGCACTTTACCGTATCTACGTCACCATCCTCGGTCAAAGCCAATGAGCAGCCTGGGAACGGACAAAACGTAGTAGGGGAAACATTCGGCAACATCAGTCATCTGCACATCTCCAACGTGTGTAGCAAAAGTCCCTTTATGCCATTTAACAACAACAAATATTTGAAAGCCAAAAGACACTAGCTAGGTGCTGGGGATAGAGCAGCAATAGACAGAATCCCCTTGCCCTGTAAGGGCATAAATTTTCAATATGTCATCAGAAGTAAAACAGATCTGCAATTCAATGGCCACTTAATAGCTGTGTGACTTTTGGCAAGTTAGTTAACTCTCTTGGGTTCAATATCTCCTACTATAAAATGGGATAGGCCAGGCGCAGTGGCTCACGCCTGTAATCCTAGCACTTTGGGAGGCTGAGGTAGGTGGATCACCTGAGTTCAGGAGTTCGAGACCAGCCTGGCCAACATGGCGAAACCCCGTCTCTACTAAACATACAAAAATCAGCCGAGCATGGTGGCACACACCTGTAATCCCAGCTACTTGGGAGGCTGAGGCAGGAGAATCACATGAACCCAGGAGGCAGAGGTTGCAGTGAGCCGAGATCGTGCCATTGCACTCCAGCCTGGGCAACAGAGCGAGACTCTGTCTCAAAAAATAAATAAATAAATAAATAAATAAATAAATAAATAAATAAAATGGGATAATAATACCATGTACAATTAAGAATCTTAATAATCACTACCGGTTACTGACTTTGAGCCAGATACTGGAAAACACTTTACACGCATTATTTTATTTAATCCACCCAAAAAAACACCTCTGAGGCAGGTCCCATTATATCCCCCATCGTATAGATGAGGCAAATGGGGTTCAAAAAAGTTAAGTAATTTGCTCAAGGTGGCAGAGCACGGATCTGAACTCAGGACTGTCTGGCTTCAAAGCAAGTGCTCTCATTCACTATGCCTAACAGTGCCTGTCATGTGGCAGGCAGTCAGTAAATTCTTTTCCTCGTTCCCTGAGTTCCTTGATTACAGCTCCTTTAGGGCAAGATCATGCCTTTCTCTGCACACATCTGGCTCATTTACATAAAATCCCATGTGCGCAACAGTAATACAATCGTTTTGTGTCCTTCCACCATTGTGCCTTGCCAAAAGTTAGTCAATAAATTGAAACAGTAGGGGCAAAATAGAGGAACAAGGAGATTAAGTGACATAAAGAAATCAGCACAAGCTGATAAAACTACGAGGTGTTTGTCATCAACACTCAACAGTTAGAAGGAATGAGATCCATATGCAAATTGCTGAGTGAAAAAAAACAAGCTACAAATGAAACATACAGTAGTGTATCATGTTTATAAAACACACATGGTAGATTACATATTGGCTGTTATAAGCAATGACAGCACAGTATTTGAGGGTAAGAGCTCTGCAGCCAGACCACCTGGTTACAAATCCTGGCTCCACCACTAACTACCCGCATAACCTAGGGCAAATTACTTCACTTTTCTGAGCTTTAGTTTCCTCATTTATAAAATGGAAGCCATGATGGAAACTGTGAAAACTAATTAGTTAATGAGTATAAAGTGCTTAAAATAGCACATGGCACACACTTAAGTGCTTAACAAATGTAAACACTGATTACAATATCATAGGAACATAGATATCACTGTAAATGCAAAGAAAACAAGCTAAAAGACTACCACCAAACTTAGAACGGTCATTATGTTACTCTAAGAGAATAGAATAGGGAATGTGGGTAATAAAACAGGCCTGTGTCTTACTGTATAATGTTTAAGTTCCTTCAAGTATGTACTTACGTATTACTTGTGAATTAAAAATATTAATGATAAAAACTGAAAAAAATTCCAATATGCCGAAGTACTCAAGAATTCTTAACTTCCAGGCTTGGGTACAAGCTATTCAACATAACAAGAAAAAGGAGGAGCAGGCCAGAGCAGGTGTACTGAGGTCCCTGCCACAGAAGAAGCACTGATGCTAACGCCTGAATCTCTCTTAGACCATGTTCCCACCCACACCGTGGCCTCTCCCATTTCACCTTCCAGGCTGGCATCCCATGGTACTGGAGCTCTCCATCCCTGATGAAGTTGTAGAGAGGTGAATCAGGGACAGAATTTAGGTCCCCGCACAAGATGATGGGGCAGTGGCTGCCATCTGACAGTCTGGCCACCTTGTCCACTTCCGCCAGGAGAATGGCCATCTGGGCCAGCTTGACATCGCCCCGGCGTGGGTTGTAAAGGATATGGGTATTTGCCACACACAGCGGGGCCACCGAGACTTGTCCCAGGCCTTCTGGGACGAGTGGTTGCAGTAGCAACACTAAGCCCACATTATCCCGATTAAGTAGCTCCAAGCCAGGCCGGAAGTACTCCACAGGGCTAGCACAGAGCAGGCGGAATCTGGTAGGCTTGTAGCAGACAGCACAGCCATCGGTTTTACACCCAGTCCTCCTCTTGTAGAAACAGGTAAAGCCTGCAAGGAAAATCCCACCAAAGAGATGGGTCAGAGTCCTTAAAGCCTGAATCCCTTCCAACCAGCACCAGCAGTCCCAGTGTATGCCCCTGAGGCATTGTTCCTGCTACTCAGTAAAGGAGCCTTTGCCACTTCCTTGGTTCAGCAGGTTCCCCCTTACATCGTAACCAGCTGACTGAGGGGCTGGAAGGGCAAGGAGGGAAGGGTATGAAGCAATGTAACATGATAGAAAAGAGCACAGAATCTAGAGTCAGACAAGCTGGATTCCTAGCTCCACATCTACTAGCTTTGTAGCTTTGTGATTCTGAGGAAGTCACATGAGTTTTCAGAACTTCAGTTTCCTCATCTGTAAAATGGGAATAACAGTCTCACCACATTGGTTACTTCAAGGATCAAATAGCAATGTATGTCAGAATTGCTATAAAACTGCAGAATTCTACTTTCTCAGGCACACATGGAAGGAGCTAGCTCACAGGTGAAACTGAGGGTTTACTAAGACAAAAGGAAAGGATGGGGTCTTCAGGAGAGAGTAGACAAGTCTGTGGAAAGAAAAGCTGGCAAGCATCCCAGGGAGCTGCATTACCCATCATTCGCAGAGAGGGTTCCAGCTGCTCCCAGTAATGATCTTCCTGGACTTCCTGGAGACACAGGATCTGGGAAATTGACAAGAAACCCAATCACTCCAGAGTGCTGGAATGTGACCCCCACCCTCTAGGAGCAGGTCCTGAGGCCAGGTGGGAAGCTGCTGGGTCACACTGAAACTTCCCAGAGTCACCAACAGCAAGAACAGGCCCAGACTTAAGCTGAAGAGATTAGAGATGTGCACTGGATTTTCCTGCTCCTTGAATCCCTCAAGCCTCCCTTCCTGCATAAAGGTGCTGGGAAGTGCACATCTAGGGAGATTCTTCTCAGCATCTGCCAACAACTCACTGACACCAGGCAGGCAAGCTCCAGCCCTAGATAGGACTCCAATCATTTGAACAACTATGGGTTGAACTCATCTTCTAAGAGCACTGGGCAACAGCCCAGGTCCAGCAACAATGCAAGATGGCAATTCCCCCTCTTCACTCACATCAGGGTCCCAGTGCTGGAATTCCTGCATGAGGTTCACGAAGCGATAGTTCCAATTGAGGATGTCTGGATGGCAATGTAGATAGAGCTCTGAGCTCTGCTGCATCAGGTCCTGAGCCAGGATGTTATAAGACATCAGAGTGAACTGGAACTGAGGGCCATCTCCTGCCTTCAGGCCCTGAGCATCTGGCTGGGTGGAGAAATCCTCCCATTCTCGCCACAAAATTTCTGCAAAGGATTGGGAGAAGCACTCAATGGCAAGTATGAGTAATGCAGAGGTGCTGCCATCTCCACTCCTGACTCAGTAATATTATGCCTGAAGTTCCTTTTTCCATCTTCCCTGTCACCCATCCCTCTCTGTGGGGAATTGATTTCTATGGACATTCTTCAGATGACATGGTTAGCTCCACAAGGCCAGAGACAATCTTGGCCTGCTCACCACTACATCCCCAGCACCTAGCATCTAATAGATGCTCCATATATGGAAGCTGACACACTCTCATTTTTGATAAATCCATGAATCTCCGGAGAATCACTCAGATGAGTGTGCTTAACAGTCACCTGAGGTTAAAGACATTTTTAGAGTAATTGCAGCCCTGGGTGTTTTCTGACCCCTAAACCTGGAAGAGTCTGTGGGACTAGAAACTATGGTGTGTCCCCATCTCCCCTATGGCATGTGGCAGCATAGTGGATTTCAAATCTATTGACGCCATTCTTCAAATTTTAACGGACTCTCAATATACAACACAAATAAAACTGAGGTAATTGTGACTGAGACAGAGACTAGAGGCCCTGAGACCTCTCTATCCCTACCTCCAGAAAGCCCTAGGGTTACCACCAGAGAAATGACATTGTGGAGAATCAGAACTAGAGTATGCTTTCAGTTCTTCCCCTACCTGGCTTTATGACTTTAGTCATGTTCTACTACCTCTCTGCACTCTGATTATTTCACCTTTAAAACCATGGGGCTGGATGAGATGATCTGTAAGGACCCTCTAGATCTGACATGCCAAGATTCTTAGAAAAATAGAATGCAGTGGCAGAGCTCCCTACCATAGAATCTTCTCTTTAGCAATGGCTCTGCCCACACCTGAGACACCCTGTTCCCTTGGCTCACTCAACCAGTTGTCAGACTCACCATGATATGGTATTTCCACTGCGGGAGGCTGCAACTGCCCCAGGCCCTCAAAGGGCCAGATGGAAGCCTCTTCCTGGGGCACAGGCTCAGGTGCTATGCTCCAGGCCAACACCGCTGGGTCCTCTTCCCACTGCTCTGTGGCCAGGGCACCCACTGGGAGGGCAGCACAGTCTGCATACTGGGGCTCCGACTGCATGGGGATAGCTGCCCACATGGAGCCCTCCACCCCCTCCACCTCCAGCAGTGGCTCCTCTCCTAGCATCTCAGGGAAAGGCTCATCCAGGTTCTCTGCAGCCCGAAGGTCACTCAGCTGCCTGCTGGACCACCTGTCCTCTGAAGCAGCATTCTCTTCTCCAGGATTATCCATCAGAAGTGCCAGGCTGCTCTGGGCTAGTCCTTTATCTATAAGGGGCCCCTCACTTGCAGTTGAGAGCACCTGGCTCAACCCTTCTTCTCGCCACTGCTGCAGCAGGCCCTCACATTCCTCCTGCTCAGGGCCCCGAGGGGCCATGGCAAAGTCGCCCTCTACCTGGGGGGATGAGCTGTTCGCCAGAAGGACATTTTTTCGACATGTGAAGAAAGCATCTAGGAGGAAAGCCAAAATACCAGGTTATAAGACTGTCATCCAACCCACACTATTCTCCCAGCTAAAACATAAGCCCAATAAAAGCAAGACCCATATCCACCTTGCTCATCATTGTACCATCACTGAGCCTGCCTACCTTAATGCCTGAACATCATCATCATCATCAGGGCAAAGTATTCACTATGTGCCAGGCACTGTTCTTTACAAGTGTTGACTAATTTATATGGCAGGGATCTGATAAATATTCAGTGCATGAAAGAACAGCTGTCTCACATAATCTAGAACACAGATGGGCACATATACCCACACTCCTTTTACATGACTTAGTTAAGACTACTATTAACAAACTCTTTGGTTCTAAGAATCACATTACATTGCAACCAGCAACTGACTGTTAATCAGAACTGTGGGTTATGATCTAGCACCAAAATTAATAAAACTGACCTTGAACAATGCCCCTAGTCAGATGAAGTTACTCTTGACTGTAAAATGGGGACAAGAGGCCAGGCGTGGTGGCTCCCAGCACTTTGGGAGGCAGAGACAGAGGCAGCAGGATCACTTGAGGCCAGGAGTTAGAGACCAGCCTGGGCAACATAACGAAACTTCATCTCTACAAAAAATTAAAAATTAGCCAAGTACGGTGGCACATGCCCATGGTCCTAGCTACTTGGGAGGCTGAAATGAGAGGATTGCTTGAGCCCAGGTTGACGCTGCAGTGAGCTATGACTGCCCTTCTGCACTCCCGCCTGGGAGACAAAGTGAGACCTCATCTCAAAAAAAAAAAGAAAAGAAAAGAAAAAAATAAATTTTAAATTTAAAAAAATAGAGACAAGTTTGAACTAGATAATCTCTGAGCTTTTCTAGCTGTATAAATTCCCTAATCTATTAATGTATTCCAAAAGAAAAAGTCCTAAAGTAGACAGTCTCAAAAATCTATACAATTTACATCTTAGCAAGGGCCCTTAAGCCTTTTCTCAAAGCTACTTATTGTAATAAAATCTTCACAAACTTCATTATCTGCTTTCCCATTCCACAACACATCAGAGGCTATAAATTACAAGGTGCCAACAATCGACAGTAAGAGACAGCTGACATCTCTCTGATACTGCAGCCACCAATGACAGCCAACAGGCAAGAAAGAAAGTGGGAAAAACTCTAAAATTAGAGCCCCCAAACTCTGAGCACAGTATTTTGGTGAGAGCAAACAACTCCTACACTCACACACTCAACCATTTATTTACAGCACAGGACGAGTAACATGCACGATGCTGGCCCTCAATCACTAGACTCATTTTATTGGCAATTTTTTTTTAAAGGGAAGAAACCTTAAAAGTGGCTCAAATATTGAAAGACGGTTCAAATATCTTGTTTGGGGTCTATGTATATTTATGTCCTTCTAAACAATGGTTTTAACCACGGTGATTTTGCCCTCGGAAGACATTTAGCAACGTTCAGAGACACTGTTGTTGTCACAACTGCAGCATTGCTACTGGCATCTAGTGGTTAGAGGACAGAGACGCTGCTGAACTTCCAACAATTCACAGGACAGACCCACACCAAATGATCCGGTCCAAAACGTCAACAGTGCTGAGATTGAGAAACCCTGCTCTAAACCTATGTATGGGCTGGGTCGTTGAGCTTTAGCCTCAAGGACTTCCTGATTATCTGCCCCTTGAAATATCCTCTGTGTATACCAGATGGCAGAGGTTCTTTGGTTCATATGCACGAAGTTACTAGCTTTCAATTTTGGTAGATGTCTTTTGGTGGTGGTGGTGGTGGATTTTCAGCAGCAGAATGCTTTTGTTTTTTAAAAATCTTATCTGGAAACCAAATATGCCAAGTAAATATAAGTGGGACTACTGTAATGTGTAGGTGGGGGGGCGGGGGGGGCCCTCCTCTGAGATCCCTAGAACTCTACTGGTCTGGAAACCTCTGGACTAGTATACTGTATCACTAAGGCATTAGAAGAGCTCCAGGAAAAACAGCAACATAGTTAAAAGAATATGTTTAGTTCTCTGGAAACAATTACTTCTGTGGAGTTTCCCACATTCCTCAGAAGTATGGACACACAAGACATTCCTGAATTCACTGAGTGCCTACTGTATACCAAGCAATGTGTTAACACCAGAGATACAGCGAACAAAATGGACGTGGCCCTGCGCTCCTGAAGTTTGCATTCTAATGGCAGATACACAGTAAAATTTAAAATATTTCTATATGAAATATATATTATCAATGACACACACATTGCGTACCAATTGTGTAAAGTTCCACAAAGGAAAACCACAGAATATACAATTGGAGCCCTCATTCCTAAGTACTTCTTGGTCCTGTCCCATAAATTAAAGGCAAAAAGTCTGCGAGTTCCATGGGATCTCAGAAACTGATGGTCGCATAAAACCCTCCGTAATTTCAAAGCCCAGAAATAGAGAATGCAGACAAATTATGAAACAATAACGAAATAAACACCCCCTCTTTGAGGTATCGACTGGGCATTGCCCCCACCCCAGCACATCTCCCTCTAAACCGCCGGGAGTGGGGGCAGGAATGCTCCAAAGCTGAGATCTAAATGTGTCTCTGATTGAACGTCCGTTTTTCAACCAAAGACACCGGTGAGCGAGAGCTGCCAGGTGGCAGTGAAAGGCGAGTGTGAAGTTAACCTGGGGAAGATCGGTGCGTCCAGTACTTCGGCCATAAACCTCCCAGAGCCGACCCGCCTCGCCCGCTGAGAATTTGGGCACTCGCCTAGGTCCGAGCTACTACCCCTTCCCGACCCGCCGGGGTGCTGACTTGGCCGACCCCACAATTTCTCTGCACCCCCAGGGCCAGGAAAGGGCCCTGCCCGTCCACAGCTCCTCTCCACCTTAACCGCGGCCGGACGCCATCTGACAACAGGCGGGAGGAGGGGCCGCCCACGAGGGACGTCGGCCAGGTCCAGGCCTCGTGGGGTCAGGAGGGGCCCGCGGGGCAGGGGCTCAGGACCGCCTCCCTACACCTCGGCACTGCCCGGGGCACGGTAGTCGTGAGGCCCGGCCAACCGCACGCCGCCCCAGGCCCGCGGAGCCCCGCAGAGGCGAGCCCTGGCCGGGCTCCTGTCTGTCGGTACGCCTGGCCGGTACCTGAGAGGGCGCGGAAGAGGCGCGTGGCCGGCAGCAGCAGGTAACACAAGCACGACGCGATCATGGCCGGCCGCCCGCGCCCGCCTCCGCTCCTCACTGCAGCCAGCAGGTCCTCCCTCAGCTCGGCCCCGCCCCCGGCCCGGTCCGGCCCACGTGGTGCCGCCGCCGCGCTTCAACAACAACTTTATTGGGAGCGCAGGTCTACGGGTGCGCACGCAGGAAGTGGGAGGAGCCGGTTCCCATGGCAACTAGCCACCCCTAGCACCCGGCTGCCACCCAGGCGTCCCGAATTAAAATTGAGCGCCTCACTGGAGGCCCCATAGTGTTATTCAAAGGCCACAGTTTATTCCCACTTCTGCAGCTGACTAGGTGTCCACCTTGTTACCACACTATAGCCTCTCCGCCCCTCAGTTTCCTCACCTGTAAAATGAAGAGCTGGACTTTCTCTAAGGCTCCACTGAACCTTGACTTCTAGCCCTTCTCGACCCAGAAAGGAAGCGAGTTATTCCCCCATTTCCCCCGTTTTCCTGCCTCTACTTCCCTGTCTCAGATTCTAGGTCACAAATTGAGTCCTACCTTGCTTCAGGAAGTAAGACTTTGTCTCCTTCCCTACTTTCTAAACGGGCCTTCTTTTCCCTAATCTAGAAAAACAGGGTTTCCCATTGGTAAGGAAGTCAAGAAAGAAAGGAGAGAGGACAAAGAGAGGAGAGAGAGAAGGGAGAGAGGAGAGAGACAGAAGAGAGAAACTTCCACAAGGCCAGGGACCAGTTCTGGCTGGTTGTTTGCTCACTTTGAGGTATCTCTAATACAATCCAAGCACCTATTGTAACCAAGTACCCAGCTTGGAAGTTATATTCTTGTTATATACTTCTATTTCTTTATTTTTGTTCAGTTAACCACTAGGCACCCCCCGACACCCCAGCACCCCCCATACACACTGTTAGCATATCTAATTGTATGTTCGCTTAAAAGTTCCAGAGACTAAATCTTGAAACAATATAGGCATCTGTGGAAATCTCCACCAGGAGATTGATTCAAGGCTACAGTTAATTTATAACTCAGCCCAGCCCGAGATGATGCCAGCCCATTCACCAGATGGGCAGTAACTCAAGACAAGTCATCAGAACTCGTCATGAAGACCTGCACTGCCTCACCCCTTGCATACCCTCCATGCCAAAACTTCTTAAAGCCTCGCATTTTGCTTGGAAATGTGAAGCAGCTCCATTAAAGCAAAAGCCTGGATCGTTTTTCCCCACTGCTAGCTTTGGTTTATAATAAAGTCAGTCTCCTTCTACCATACCACGACCTTGCTCGTTGGTTTTGCAAGCGGCCGAATCTGCATTCGCTAGCACTACTAGCCACCACATAAGCCTTTACTGACTGGTTGAACAAAGCATATGTCACTAAATGAAGGCCAGTTCTGCCATCACTTCTGTGCCACCTGCGACCTCTTTGAGTCTCTCTTCCCCAGTCCCCCTCCCCCAATCTTCTACCCCAAACAGGCTCTGAAGGAGGGACTGGACAATGCACCCAGTTTCAGTACCCAGTGTCTGAGTTGCACGATTTCCAGTTTGTGGCTGGAGCCTTGGTTGTTCAGGGAAGCCTTCTGGGGAGTCACCAGATCCTGGACCAGCTGGGTACATCATAACACTGAAAGGCTAATAGGAGGAAGAAGGAGAGAGTTAGTATTGTGGCCTTCCCACTACTTACCCTTAGTTCTAGAGGTGGCAATGTCTGCCTGCCTTCAGGCAACAGCACTTATCCCTTTGAGATGAAACAGAGGCCCAGCAATCTGAAGGTTGGGAAGCTGCTTAGAAATTAGTGCACAAATGGTGGATCTACCAAAGGCGCTCCCGAGGTCAGGCCCCCTCCTTTGATGTAGCTTAAGTAAAACCCTCCTTGTACCCTCCTTCCATTTTGTACCATGAGTTATCCAGAAGTCCAAGTTCCAAATCAGATCCTAATCAAGGGTAACGGTTCCCTTATCTCCACTGGGAAAATGCTTTCAAAATACAAATTTCTAGGCCCTACTCCCAGAGTTCTGATTTAGCAGCCCTGGAATGAGGCCCTTAAACACTTACTTATTCCAATGCACGGTTTGGGAACCTCTGCTAAAGGATCCAGTCTCAACTGGGCTGTTCAGTGCACAGTGTGGGCACAATGTGTCAGCCCAACTGATCTATGTTCTTTCAGAGGCTTTTTCTGCGGCCAGTTAAGTGAGGCTTCCCTCTTTTTGTTTCCTGGTCCATAATCAGCCGTGTTGGAAGGTGTAGGGTGATATAAGGATCACAAGCTTTGGAGTTAGACCAACTGAGTTGAAATCCTGGCTCTGCCACTTTTTACCTGTGGAATCTCTCAGGTTGCCTAAGCTCTTGGGGCCTCAGTTTCCTCATTGTGCCTGACCCAGTATAAACTCTCAATGTTTACTATTACATTTTTGGATTTGGGCAGAAAAGCAGCTCCAGACGTGGCTGATGTAGGATCTTCTTCCACAATTTCTGGCTAAAATAGAGCTCCTGCCCTCCAAATTGTAATGAGTATTACTAAGCAAGCCAATAACTACAGGTTCCAAGGAGACTTGGCCGAAGGAGTGGAGCCTTAGGCTTCCCCAGTCAGAGGAAAATTACAAGTGCAATCTGCACAGTCTCCAGCCTCATTGTTTCAGAAATATCCCAAGAAGAGAGACGATTCCCTCAATTCATTCCAGCTGTGCTAACAATGAAGACAAGTATGAGCACCTGCATCCATCACTACCATGGTTTCCAGGGTGCAGAACCTATGTAATGGAGCAAGTGGGAGGTTTTGCAATACTTTGAGAGACTTAAGATGCTCTCTTAAAGGGACATTTCCAGTCTATAAGAAATTTAAGCCCTTGAGGGCTAAAATTTTACTTATGACAACAAATATATGTGGAATTCCAACAGAGTGGCTGCATTTATTAACTTATTGGTTGAACATGTGCAAATATTGGGGCGGCATAGTGCTTTCTTCAGGATTACAGAGGCTACGGACCAACGCCTGGGACAGTGCTGCCCAAAAGAAATATGTTGTGAACCACATATGCAATTTAAAATTTTCTAGTAGCCTCATGTAAAAAGTAAAAATAAATCAATTGATAAAGCAAGTGAAATTAATTAATAATATTTTATTTTACCCCATAGATCCAAAAATTTTGTATTTTAACTTGTAATCAATAGTTCAAGATGAGATATTTTATGTTCTTTTTTTGTACTAAGTCTTCAAAATCCAGTGTGTATTTTACTTGGACATCACATCTGAATTTGGACTAGCCGTATTTCAGGTTCTGAATACTGCAAGGAGCTAATAGCTACCGTACTGAACATGGGCTGTTCTGGAGAGTGCAAACAGCTTCTCAGATAGGATAGGCTGAAAAGATTTGCTCATCTTCAACTCTTACGATAACCTGAGGCCTCTACACTCCTAGTAATCTGCCTTCTCTGAGCCTGGTGTTTTCTTTGGGAATCTCAAGATTTATGACTAGGCATTCCCAGAATGTGCCAGATTAGTCTGAATTAATGCATTCATTTGCTCACTTATTCACTGATTCATGCATCCATGTGTTCATTAGAGATTTATCAGGCAGTCATCAATGTTTACCCCAACCTCACCCTTGACTTTCCTTGACCTCCTGCCCACTCCTCGATTCCTTGAAACTTCAGCCCTGGACTCACAGTCTTCTTCCCTACCTCTAGTCCTCCTGTCACCAGTGTGGATGAGCCATCCTAACCCCTGGAAGCTCATTGCCATGACCTCCTTAATGACCTTCATTTCCATGTGCTTCAGACACACCCTTCCCTGGCTGCACCTTGGATATGTCATTACTGGGCACTGTTTCCCGTCTGAAATCATAAATTCACACACCCACTCTGATGGCATGGCTTTCTCATGGCTTTCTGCCTCTCCCACTTCTACTTCATCTTTTCTTTTAACTCCATCAGACCCTTGATTTCTCTAGTCTGTCCTTCTCAAGCTTTCCCTCAGTCATCATTTCTTTCCCTATCCAACATGGAATTCCCATGACCCCTCTTTTAAATCACTCTTCCCAATATCATCAACTCTCCTGCCCACTGTTCTTAGATTATATCTGCGTGGGTCAGTAAAACTATTCTTCTTGGCTCTTACATCTGGGCTGCTGAGCAACAATGAATAAAATTACCAACCCCAAAGATTGAGGCCATTAGTGTGCTAGTCTCCAACCTCTCTTCTGCTCGCAACCCTCCCCAGCAATTCTATGCTCTTTAATTAGCTTTCTCTCCCATTCTCACAATGATTATTCTTCTCAAACTTTCTGCCCTATTGCCTCCCTTCTTGCTCTTAGGAGATTATCTCCCCATCAACTTTAGAGAAAAAAATAGAGCCACCAAGTGTAAATTCTCTACTCCCTGTTGCCACAACAATGCATTGACCAGCATCTCTAACCACCTTTTCCTCTTCTCCCAACACAGCAGTTGGCACTTCCACCATGCTCCGGACCCCCTCCCCCTTCCTCTGAGATGATGTTCCTTCTACTACCCCTCTCCTTTCCTTCACTGACCCCTTGTCATCAACATTTAAGCATGCTCAAGTCACTCCTGTCAAGAAGCCCTCCTTCAGTGCCAGGTCCCCTCCAGCTAGCCCCTGCGTTCCCACCTCTCACAGCCAATCTTCTTGCAAGAGTTGTCTGCAGCTGCTGTCTACAATTCCTCACTCTTATTCATGCTCATTCCACTGAGATATAGCTTCCACCACCATTACACCACCAAAACTCCCTCCTCACTGTTCCTGATGCTTTCCTTGTTGAGGATAGTAGGGTCCTGCAGAAAGAACACGCCCTAGGCATTATTATTTCTTGAATATTCTGTAATTTTGCATAACTTCCCCCTTCTTGTAAGATTCTCTTCCCTCGGTTTCTGTGACATTCTTGTTTTCCGCTTGTCTTGGTGGATGTCCTATCCTTGTATCCTTCACTTCTGTTCCTCTCACCACCACCCTTTTCCTGATGATGTTCCTAGGATTTCTCCTTTGGCCTCTCCCCTCCTCTTACTCCACTGTCCCTTCTTGAGAAAGTCTCACCACTCCAATGGCTTCAAATACCATCCATATGCTGACAACTCACACATCTACATTTTTAACCCAAATCCTTTTCCTGGGTCACAGACCCATAAATCTTTTTGCCTGTGGACCTCTCCCAGTGGGCACTCCAGCGACAACTCAAAGACTCAACCCAGTCAAAGCTGTACTCATCACCTCCCCGCCACCATCCTCCAAAAGACCCCTGCCCCAGCTCCTTTGTTCTCTCCTTTAGGAGTTGCACAGCCATGTACTGAGCTATCCTGGCCCCCGCTTTTTTCTTCTCTGCTTTCTCTTATATATCTGATTGATTCCCAGATCCATGTGGTTTGGCCTTCTTTGTATTTATTCAATGGGTCCACTTCCTCCAGCCACTCCTGACTAGTGTTGATTCTCCCCTACCTCGATCCATTTTCCACACTGTAGCCAGAGCAATCTTTCCACTGTGTGAATCGTATCAGGTCACTGCTGCCTAAGACCTTTTAGTGCAAACTCCCACTGTCCTCAAAATGTCAGCCAAGCTCCTTGGATTAACTGTACAGTCAATGCACCTCCCACCCCTAACTGCTTTCAGACCCACCTCTCAGTACCATGATGGCTTACCTCACAAACCAGTAGTTCAAAAGCACAACAGTTTAATCAGAGGGTACAGCACATGCTGGTTATGTGGTTTCTGAAATACTAGCCCCACAACAAAATTGAAAAGGTACAAATTCAGCTGATTTTCAACAATGGTCAAAAGACAATTAAATGGCAAAAGAATAGTCTTTTCAATAAATGGCGATGGAACAATTGAACGTCCACAAGTGAAACAAATGAATCTCAACCTATAACTTCACACCTTATACAAAAACTAGCTCAAAATGGGTCACGGGAAAAGTTCTGGAAATAGATAGGGGTGATGGTTGCACAACATTGTGCATATACTTAAACTCACTGAATTGTACACTTTAAAATGTTAAATTTAATGGTTAAAATGGCAAATTTTATCATGCATGTTTCACCACAATAAAAAAATTAAATGGATCATAAACCTAAATGCAAAAGCCAAAACTATAAAAATTCTAGAGCAAAACAGGAGAAAATCCGCATGACCTTGGGGTAGGCAAATAATTTTTAGATATGACACCAAAAATGTGATCCATAATAGGAAAAAAAAGATAATATTTGTATAATTTTGACAAAATTTGGCTTTATTAAAATTAAAACTTTTACTCTGTGAAAGACATTGTTAAGCGAATGAGAAGACAAGCCACAGACTGAGAGAAAATATTTGCAAATCCCATTTCTGACAAAAGACTTATTTCCAGAATATATCAAGAATTTGCCAAACTCAGCAATAAAAAAATAAACAACCCAACTTAAAACGAGTAAAAGGGCCAGGCGCGGTGGCTCACACCTGTAATCCCAGCACTTTAGGAGGCTGAGGCGGGCAGACCACCTGAGGTCGGGAGTTCGAGACCAGCCTGACCAACATGGAGAAACCCCATCTCTACTAAAAATACAAAATTAGCCAGGCGTGGTGGTGCATGCCTGTAATCCCAGCTACTCGGGAGGCTGAGGCAGGAGAATTGCTTGAACCCAGGAGGTGGAGGTTGTGGTGAGCCAAGATCGCACCATTGCACTGTAGCCTGAGCAACAAGAGCGAAATTCCATCTCAAAAAAAATAGTAAATAAAATGAAATGAGCAAAAGATCTGAACCAAGAACAAAGGAAATATATAAATGGCAAGTAAGCATGCGAAAGGATGCTCAACATCATTAATCATTGGGGAAATGCAAATTAAAACCATCATGAAATACCACTACACACTTACTAGAATGGAAGAACAAAACCAAAAACTGGAAATGGTAAATATTGGCAAGGATGTGGAGCAACTGATGCTGTCATACATTCCTGGTGGGAATTCAAAATGGGCATACACGTTTGGGCATAGTGGTTCACTCCTGTAATCCCAGCACTTTGGGAGGCTGAAGCGGGTGGATCACCTGAGGTCAGGAATTCAAGACCAGCCTGGCCAACATGGTGAAACCCTGTCTCTACTAAAAATACAAAAATTTGCCAGGCATGGTGGCACACACCTGTAATCCCAGCTACTCAGGAGGCTGAGGCAGGAGAATCGCCTGAATCTGGGAGGCGGAGGTTGCAGTGAACCAAGATTGCACTACCGCACTCTAGCCTAGGCGACAGAGCAAGACTCTGTCTCAAAAAAAAAAAAAAGAAAAGAAAAAAAGAAAAGGAAAGAAATGAGTCCACAGCAATCCCACTCCTAAGTATTTACTCAAGAGAGAAGAAAGCTCATGTTCACACAAAAACCTGCACATGAATGTTGATAGCCATTTTATTCATAATCACCAAAAAAGTGGAAAATATGAAGATGTCTTTCAGCAGGTGAATGCATAAGCAAAGTGTGGTACATCTCTGTAACAGACTATTACTCTGCCATAAAAAGGAACTCTGCAGCAACATGGATGACTCTTAAATGCATTTTGTTAAATGAAAGAAACTAGTTCAAAAAACTACACATTGTATGGCCTCATTAATATAATTTAGGAAAGGCAAAACTATTAGGATAGAAAAGAGAAGACTGGTTTCCAGCAGACAGGGAGGGACGAGGGGTAAAGGAGGCAGCATGAGAGGCTGTTGAGGGTGATGGAACTCTTTTGAATTGGACTGTGGTGGTGGATATGTGACTTCATGGATTTGTCAAAACATGTAGAACTGTACACCACAAAGAATGAATTCTGCCATATGTCAGCCACAATAAAATCAACCAGGATATTGGGGAAAGATGAAATGCAGACTCTGACAAATGAATCTAACTGTATTACAAGTGAATTAAATAACCCACTGAAGCGGGTGGGAAGAAAGAGTTGACCTAAATAACTGGGGAAAAAAGTATTTTGACTGGCTACCACAAGGATAAACAACCACAACTTATATACTGACACCATGCTCTAGTTAGTAAATTTGTTTCTAGGACTATGGCTTAGCAATTCCGAAACTAATTATGTATATATATTAGAGATGAACAAATAAGCAGATATATGGTAGAAAACAAGAGCCAGGTTTCTGGCCAGGAGAAAGAAATGACAAATATGAAAAAGGAGAAGGCATGAATGAGTCATGTAGTGCTAGGCTGGGGATCGAGGCATCATTATAGATGGTTTTTGTTCAATGTACATATATAGATAGACTGGTATGGAAATAAATATATATGTGTGTTATGGGTGGATTAGTTTACATGCACACACACACATTTCCTAGCTCTGTTCACCAAAAAGTCTAGAAGTAGTGATACCCACATGGTGATGAATGCACAAGCTTCCAGATCTAGGTTTCCAAATATAATTCTCCTTGGAGAGATAACTTCTTCCTTTTTTTTTTTTTTTTTTTTTTTTGATAAAGTCTCACTGTCACCCAGGCTAGAGTGCCATGGAGAGATCTCTGCTCATTGCAACCTCCGCCTCCCGGGTTCAACTGATTCTTGTGCTTCAGCGTCTTGAGTAGCTGGGACTACAGGCACGTGCCACCACACCTAGCTAAGATAGGGTTTTGCCATGTTGGCCAGGCTGGTCTCGAACTCCTGACTTCAGGTGATCCTCCTGCCTCAGCCTTCCAAAGTTCTGGGATTACAGGCATGCGCCACCACGCCTGCCCAGAAAAGTAATTTCTGTGACTCCAGAGAGTGAGGGAGGGCTCAAAAAAAGGGGAAGGAGGATGTCAAAAGGGCACAGGACAGCCGCCCCGTCCGGGAGGGAGGTGGGGGTGGTCAGCCCCCCGCCCGGCCAGCCGCCCCATCCGGGAGGGAGGTGGGGGGGTCAGCCCCCCGCCCGGCCAGCCGCCCCGTCCGGGAGGGAGGTGGGGGGGTCAGCCCCCCGCCCGGCCAGACGCCCCGTCCGGGAGGTGAGGGGCGCCTCTGCCCAGCCGCCCCTACTGGGAAGTGAGGAGCCCCTCTGCTGGGCCAGCCGCCCCGTCCGGGAGGGAGGTGGGGGGGTCAGCCCCCCGCCCGGCCAGCCGCCCCGTCCAGGAGGGAGGTGGGGGGATCAGCACCCCGCCCGGCCAGCCGCCCCGTCCGGGAGGGAGGTGGGGGGGTCAGCCCCCCGCCCGGCCAGACGCCCCGTCCGGGAGGTGAGGGGCGCCTCTGCCCAGCCGCCCCTACTGGGAAGTGAGGAGCCCCTCTGCCCGGCCAGCCGCCCCGTCCGGGAGGGAGGTGGGGGGGTCAGCCCCCCGCCCGGCCAGCCGCCCTGTCCAGGAGGGAGGTGGGGGGGTCAGCCCCCCGCCCGGACAGCCGCCCCGTCTGGGAGGTGAGGGGCGCCTCTGCCCGGCCACCCCTACTAGGAAGTGAGGAGCCCCTCTGCCCAGCCACCACCTCGTCTGGGAGGTGTACCCAACAGCTCATTGAGAACGGGCCGGGATGACAATGGCGGTTTTGTGGAATAGAAAGGGGGAAAAGGTGGGGAAAAGATTGAGAAATCGGATGGTTGCCGTGTCTGTGTAGAAAGAAGTAGACATGGGAGACTTTTCATTTTGTTCTGTACTAAGATAAATTCTTCTGCCTTGGGATCCTGTTGATCGGTGACCTTACCCCCAACCCTGTGCTCTCTGAAACATGTGCTCTGTCCACTCAGGGTTAAATGGATTAAGGGCGGTGCAAGATGTGCTTTGTTAAACAGATGCTTGAAAGGCAGCATGCTCGTTAAGAATCATCACCACTCCCTAATCTCAAGTACCCAGGGACACAAACACTGCGGAAGGCCGCAGGGTCCTCTGCCTAGGAAAACCAGAGACCTTTGTTCACTTGTTTATCTGCCAACCTTCCCTCCACTATTGTCCTATGACCCTGCCAAATCCCCCTCTGCGAGAAACACCCAAGAATGATCAATAAAAAAAATAAAAATTAAAAAAAAAAAAAAAAAAAAAAACAAAAGGGCACAGGAGCCCACCTGAAGGAACTCTCAATGGCCAAAGTTGGAACTTGAACAGTAAAATAAATGATAGTATTGTATTGTAACCCAAGGAATAAAATAAACCTGAGTCCCTATAGATACAAACAACTGAATAAACAAGTAGCAGAGAGGGGCAACTCCTATAGAAAAATTCCAGTTGATAAATGCAAAAGGATTGCGAATACAGAAAATCACCATGAGAACACCACAGTAATTGTTGAGGCACGATCCATTAATAGATGCTAACATTAGTGGGCAAAAATTTAAGCAGAAAGAGGATATTTGCAGAGTCTTGAAGTATCTAAGTCTGTATTCTGTAAAAAAGGAAAAATAGCAACTTTACTGTAGCAAAAGCTGGCAGATACCACCTTGACCAAGTGATCAATATAATACATCTTGACATCACGTACTGCTGACACACACCAAGAAGGGTACATCAACTATGTGGCACCCTTCCCAATAATCATGACAAAAACATCAGCCAAACCAAAATTGGGGACATTCTAAATATCTGACCAGTACTCTTTGAAAGTGTCCAGGTCATGAAAGACAAAAGAAAGACTAAGGAAATGTCACAGGTTGGAGGAGATCAACAGAGCCACAATAACGAATGTAATATGGCATCCTGGCACCAAAGAAGGACATTAATGGGAAAACTAGTAAAATACAAATATAGTCTGTAGTTTAATTAATAGCATTGTACTGATACTAACTTAGTTTTGATCATTTTTCCATGGTTATAGACGTTAACATAAGGTGAAGCTGAGTGAAGAGTAAATGGGAACTCTGTTATATTTGTAATTCTGTTATCTAAAATTATTTCAAAATAAAAAGATTAATTTTAAAAAATGTGGCTGGGGTCAGGCATGGTGGCTCACACCTGTAACCCCAGCACTTTGGGAGGCCAAGGCGGGCATATCACCTGAGGTTGGGAGTTCAAACCAGCCTGACCAACATGAAGAAACCCCATCTCTACTAAAAATACAAAATTAGCCAGATGTGGTGGTGCATGCCGGTAATCCCAGCTACACAGGAGGCTGAGGCAGGAGAATCGCTTGAACCTGGGAGGCAGAGGTTGTGGTGAGCCAAGATGGTGCCATTGCACTCCAGCATGGGCAATAAAACGAAAGTCTGTCTCAAAAAAAAAAAAATAATAAAAAGTGGCTGGGCACGGTGGCTTACGCCTGTAATCCTAGCACTTTGGAAGGTTGAGGCTGGCGGATCACTTGACCAGCCTGGCCAATATGGTGAAACCCTGTCTCTACTAAAAATATGAAAAATTAGCCAGACGTGGTGGTATGCGCCTGTAATCCCAGCTACTTGGGAGGCTGAGGCAGGATAATTGCTTGAACTTAGGAGGCAGAGGTTGCAGTGAGCCAAGATCATGCCATTGCACTCCAGCCTGGGCAACAGACAGAGCAAGACTCCATCTCAAAAAAAAAAAAAAAAAAGATACCCTTTAATAATACAGAAATTTTCAAAAATAATAACTTATAAAAAGAGTTTACAGGTATTACATTTCAGGGTTTTTAAAAAATACACATTTTTGGCCGGGTGTGGTGGCTCACACCTGTAATCCCAGCACTTTGGGAGGCCAAGGCTGGCGGATTATGAGGTCCGGAGATCGACACCATCCTGGCTAACACAATGAAACCCTGTCTCTACTAAAAATACAAAAAATTAGCTGGGCGTGGTAGCGCATGCCTGTAGTCCCAGCTACTTAGGAGGCTGAGGCAGGAGAATGGCGTGAACCCGGGAGGCGGAGCTTGCAGTGAGCTGAGATTGCGCCACTGCACTCCAGCCTGGGCGACAGAGTGAGACTCCATCTCAAAAAAAGAAAAAAAAAGAATTAAAAAAAATTATGGTCCTTAAACATTTTTATTTTTTCCAGAATTGACTATTATGCAAAAAATATTGCTGTCAACCATTCTAAAGAAAATATCTGATGATGTCACTCTCCTGTTCAAAAATCTTCATTGTCTCCCTATTGCCTTTTAATTGCATTCGGATCTCTCCCTGAAGCTGCCCTGGCCCTGGTGGCCTCCCCTTCTGCTACTCGTCTTCACAGCCTGCACTCCTATGCGGGGAGCTGCTGCCTTCCTTCATCCTGACCTCCTGGAAATGCCTTTTCCCCAGACTCTACTTGTCCAGAGCCCAAGCAAGTTCCCCAATATGAAGAAACCTCACCCTCCCCTGAACGCCCAGCGCATTTCCCCAAAGACCCATCTCAGTTTCCCTGCTGCTGTTGGATCCAGGCTGGTGGTGCCTCTATCCAGTGGCTTAGTTGGAGCACCTACCTCTAGATTTTCTCACTCACCCTTCAGTACCTGAGACCAGATGGTGCCGTCCAAGTAGAGCACCCAGAGCCCTAGACCAGGACACACATGCTCTCTGATCCCTCTTTCTCCCCCTTAATGCTTCCTTATCCTCTGCAATAGTGTGGGCCAGCCAGATGCCCTGAGGATCACCAGGACTCATGTCTACCTGATCATCCTAGGAGCTGATCACTCTCCCTGGACTGTTTGGTATTTCTTTAGAAGGACCACATGAGATTGGGCCACCAGAATGGTGCTGCCATGCCGATTTAGGGTGACTCAAATTGTTTATACAAGCAAGAACTCTACCAAAAATATTTGCCCAGGACCCTCACCCTAGGGTGGCCCTGTCAATTTCTATTATGCATTGCACATGCCTTAAAAGGGTCCTGTCTTAATCATGTCTGCATCCCTTCCCCACAGTGGTGCCTATTTTAGCGCCCGTACGTAATAGAGACTCAATATGTATTTCTCAGCATGAATGCTTGAAGGAACAAGTAACATCTCAGGTATACATATTTCTTCTGATCCATGGTTCTAATCATGTTTTCCTTGCACACATTTCTAGATCTTCCTCATTCTGAGTAGCAAAAAAAAAAAAAAAAAAAAGGAATTTTCACATCCTCAAACCCTCCAGTCACTGACCTGACCATTGATGTCCTGAAAACTTATCAAGAAAGAACAAATGTGCCTCCAGATTCTCCCGAAACCAAACTGCAACTGGACTTCAACTCCAACACATGTGAGAATGGCCGAGTGTGGGAATGCTAGTTGAACCGTCTCAAGGTAGGCAGCCCCATAGTTTGGATTGAACAATGCTTTGGCTGCAACAAACTGTAGTGATAGGACATATGTTCATTGCGCTGTGCTTTTGATCTTCAGCTCCAAGGTTAAGATGCTCTCCCACGGGGAAAAGAAAAAAGGAAGAAGAGCTGGGCAGAAGAAAACTGACTTCACCCGTCACTGAAATACTTCATACCTGAAGCACAGCTCTCTTGCGAGAAGAACATGATGGCAGCTCTTCACAGTCACCTAATTAAGGGGCTTGGGTTGGGTCCTGACTCAGAGGGAAATACAACACCACTGAGAGGAACCCCCCACAGCACCTGAGCACTCACAGCCAAGCCTGGGCTTGGCCCCAGTAGACATATGAGAACAGGTGACTGCCAGAACCACCCAGAGGGCGGGAAGCCTGCTGTTGCCAGGTCCACCATGTGAATCACAATGACTGCATGAGGTCACAGAATGTTGAAGATGAAATGAAAGTGGCTCCTGAGTCACAAAGTCACAGGCGGGTGGGGATCCTTTCAACAGGGCTCCCAGCAATAGAGCAGTCCCACTCTCCCAGATGAGCTGGAGAAGTAGCTACCTCTCCCAGACAGAGTTGGGGTCAAATTCATGCACATCCAATTCCCATCAAAGCCTACTCTTCCCAGGGCTTGCTGGGAGGGAAGGATAACTGCAGGCTCCCCTGGGATGCCCCCAGGTGAGGGAAGTTCACAGAGTTTGAGACAGAGGTGAATGGACAGGTGTGCTTCTTAGGGAAGCAGTCGAGAGGTGGCAAGAAGTTGGCAGCTGCCCTCAAGAGGGTCCTGGCACCATGGACAATGACAAGCCTCTTCAGCCTGAGACAGAAGGTGAAAGGGCATCCCATCTCTCACCACTCAGGCCCGTCCCTGCTGCCTCAGTACAACACCTAGTGATCACAGGACCCTGAAGCCCACTTCTTTCCTCACCTGGGACCCTCTAGAAGTAGGATGATTTGTTATACTGACTTGGGTTCAGGCCTTGGCAAACAGGAAGAATTGGCTGCAGTGCTATGCCACAACTACCTCATACTGGCTCTAGCCAGCTTTAATTTTTATTGTGTGGGCCAGTTGATACCACATTTATAGTTTGAAATCAGTCACATTGGGAATATTTACACCACATGAATTGGCTAACACTATAAATCAGGATGTTTTTGGTGTTGTTTGTTTTTTTTCCTGGAGAATCAATTGTTAAAATTTACCAGCATTCTACTGGTTGAATGGAATTCTAAATTGTTTGACAAGGAAATTAACACTCAGAAATTCATCACTTTTCTAAGGGCACTCAGCAGTCTGACAGCCAAGCTGTTGTCTGTCTTCTAACTACCAGGCCACTGCTACCTGCACTGTGTATCCCAGACAGTCTGGGAGATAAATGTTGGAACCTGGGTCTATGGACAAGGATTAAGAAAGACCTGCATGGACTCATTAGGAACCCCACCATCCTAGAATCTGGGTGGTCAAAACTTGGGACCCCTGCCACAAATGCTCAGCCCACCCAATGAGTAGGTTGGCTAAATTCTGACAGGTCATTCAGAGGCATGGCATGGCTTCTTGAAACTACTGAGTCCTGTCAGTGCCTAAGGATTGAGCTCTGGATTTTATGTGTGGCTTCCAGAAGCCCATGGCTTTCAGGAGCCTATGGCTGATCCCAGGTCAATGGCCCAGAGGTGGTAAAACCACATCTAGCAAGTGCAGAGGACTGGTGTGAGGGGAGCTCTGTTCCCAGCAATGAATATGATTAATTCATTACTATGAATTAATCATAGTAATTCATTTCGACCCAAGGGAGATTTTCAAGCCCCTCCTTCTTCCTAATCACAAATCAATGTTAGATTGGAAGGAAGAGAAGCTAAGTCAAATTCTTAGGAATCAAGTTCTCTCTCTTGCTCTCTGGAACTGCTCCTGGTCCATTTTATTTTCTATTTGACCTAAGTTGTCACCTCCCCTGCCCTGCCCTGCCCCTTATACTCCCTGGCACCATTTGTGCCTGACAATAAGGAAGCCTATGTATCGGGACCCACCCTTTCACCTGAAAGAGTAACAGCACACCCCAAAACCCACCCAAACACTTAAGAATGGGAAAGTGTGAGCAAGGAGCCGATCTCCAAGGCACGCCTCAGACAGGGAAGGGGGAAGGAGCAGCCGGTCTCCAGGGAGCAGAAGGGAGTTGGTTTCACAAGCTCCCGTAGACCCTGCAGCCGGAGGCAGCGCTATTGGGGAAGGGAGGTTTGTAGAGTGGACTTGCCCTGGCAGGGCTTGGCACCTTGAGGACCTGGGACTCAGAGGAAGGGAGCAGAGATGGAGGGGCGGCAGCGGCAGGCTTTATTGGGAGGCCAGCAAGTTTTATTCCTGGCATCAAGGAGATGAGTTTTTTCTTCCAGATGAGATTGAAATTGAGCCAGTACGACAGAGCAGCGATAAAATGCTCTACTGTGAGGCCGAATCCCCGCCGACTGTTGAAAAAGTGAAACCAGCCCGGGAGAATTCGGAAACAGACCTGGAGATTGAAGGCGAGCATGGGCATTTGGGGGCAGTCAGGGCAGCTTCTCCTCAGAAACTGGAGAAATCTGGTTTCCAGGAGCTGTCATCTCACTCCTTTCCAGAGTCTGCCCTGCGGATGGCCTGTGGAGGAAATGTGGCAGAAAGGCCTGCTCGATTTTGCCTGGAGTCCTCCTCCGGGCTGGCAGGGGAGAGCAGCTGCAGCTTCCCACGCTTGTCACCTGCCTCAGGAGCAGTGCCCTCACGTCGTCTTGTTAAAAGCGGAATCAATACACAAACAAGGTTTTCTAATCTTCTAAATGTTTCCACGTGGGGCATCCTATGCAATCTTTGCAATAGTCCTAGGAGGTAGGCATCTTTGCCAGTTTTCAACAGAAGAGGAACTGGGCCTTAAAGAGATTATAGGCATTGCCCAGGGACAGCGGGAGTTTGCCCAGCACGTTGGCTGATCCCGTGTTTGACTCACTCTGATGGTTCTGCCTTCTGTATTCCATATCCCAGGCCCCTGGAGTGTTTCTGTGGCCTATCTTGCATCCCAGTGACTTTCCCACACTCACCTTAGAGCTCTGGTTTCCCCTACTTTTCTTGATAAATCTAAGCATGCCTGGGTATCGGGACTGGCTGAGCTGAAACAAAGACTCTGTTAATGCAAATAACACCTCCACCCTCTCTCTCCTCCCAGTTTCCCCAAGAAGGGAAGCACCGAAAGAGAACACTTGTGAAGCAAGAGAATGACGCTGGTTCCATCTGACAGGGTCAGCCTCAAACTTCCCAGGCCAAGCCTAGCCCAGTCACCCTTCCTCCCCTGCATCCTTGCAGCTGGCTGGTGGGCAGTGATTCACAGGCAGCAGAGATGGAGGAAGGCCAGTTCTGCCAAATTAAACTGTGAAGTTCATCTGCATAGAGTCAGTTTATAAACCTCCCCACCATGGTCAACATACAACATACATCTTCACCCTTCTACGCAGACCTCCTCCCCGCTGACCCCCAGGCAGCTTGTTGCTCTTTTTCTGGCTTCTTGTCCACTTCAAGTCTGTTGTTAACGTTGCTTCTAACACCCAACTTCATTCACATGGTTGGAGAAGGTAGCAAAGGACAACACTGGATGTTTGGCCAAAGGGTCCTGTTTCTATCTCATTCCCCCATCTCTTCCCCTGACTGCAGCAAGTGCTAACACTGTCGCAAGCTGCCCATAAAATATAACAATAGGGAACACAGCTAGAAAGGGTCAGCATCAAACCCAGCAGAATTAGTCCCAGGGACAAAACCTGGGGGTTACCTTCCCTGCTTTTGCCAACAGGAACCTCTAATGGCTGAATGTGGCACCAAAAACTCTGTCCTGAATGGTAACTCGGGGCTCAGCAGCCCTGGCTCCTGGTGCTCCTGCTGTGGGTGCTGAGACACTGGGAATGGGCAGGGAGGGCATGGGAAATGGGCCAGCTGGGAGCAGTGCTGGCTGTGAGTCTAGAGAAAAGGGGGAGACGAGCCTGGTTTGCTCACTTGCCATGAGCTGTTTTTCTCCACAACAGTGGTTCTCACCTGGAAGCAATTTTGCACCAAGGGGACATTGGGCAAACTAGGGGAGGGGGGTTGCTACTGGCATCTTGTGGGTCCACGCCAGAGATCCTACTAAACACCCTACTATGTATAGGACAGCCCTCAGAACAGAATTATCCAGCCCAAAATACCTGCAGTGCTGAGGCTGAGAAGCGCTGCTGTACAAGCGTCCCAAAGAGAAGTCTAATTTGTAGTTGTGCTTGCAAAATCAGCTTCCCTGTAAAGCACTTGTCCTTTCACCAACAAAGCTCCCATTGTCAGCCTTAGATTGTTTGGAGGGGGAGGGGGTTGGCCAAAGGCCCTGGGATCTGAAGGAAAAACAGATGCAGACATAGACGCCAGCTGGCCTCAGGAAGCCCTGCCATAGGCTGGACTTGCCTAATGAGGACACAGCTGTGGGGCACCCAGAATCCAGGGAGGCCCGATGCCCAGTGACCATGGGCCAGGCTGGCCTAAAGCCTAAGAAATAAAGGCCCCCAGGGGTTAGAATGGAAAGGTGCAGTCCCCACTTCTGTTAGCTGGTTTTAGCATTGACCAACTGTGTGTTATTTGAGGCTAGGTTTGTCGTCAATAAAGCAAGGATGACAGTCCTTTTTATAAGGAAAATGACATGCAAGCTTTTGAAAGAAGAAAGACCATTCACATGCAAGCATGCTTGTTTCTCGCTGATGTGGAGGTCTTTCCATATTCACTGGTTTGCCATTTTGAGAAGTCCACTCTGTCCTAGTTGGGCTTTTTAAATGTTGGTGCCTCTCTAAGTCTTTGGTGAAGCTTTTTTCATGACTCACAACCTTGTGATAGTGGCGGTGAAACTAAAAGTGAAATGAAGATTCCATCAACCATCAAAAGTCATCCGCGTTTGGCCTTTCAGAATTGTCCAAAGGTGGGCAAGAGGGCTTGGGCCTTCTATGTCCTTGATGACCAGTCACTGGATGTGGCCAACCTGGGCAGGTGGGGTGAAGCCCACTGCTCACTTCTAGGAAAGCTTCTGGCCTAAAACCATGGGCCTCATCTCCTACCCAAAGGGAAACATTCATCTGGGACTTTCTGGAGTTAGAGTCTCCCTCTCCCACCATGGACTGACTTCCCAGACAGGAGCAGGCTTCTTAGCACATACCCACAGGGAGAGATCCTCTGGCAGAGGACAGTCTAGACATGAGTGAATGTCACTGGGGCTAGAGGGGAGAGAAGGCAAAGGTGGAAGAGAAATCCTACTTCAGCCCATCTTTCTCTGCAGATGATGAGAAATTTTTCACCACTGGACAAAAGGAGCTGTACCTGGAGGCCTGCAAGCTGATGGGTGTAGTGCCTGTCTCCTACTTCATTCGGAACATGGAGGAGTCCTACGTGAACCTCAACCACCACGGCCTGGGCCCCAGGGGTACCAAGGCTATTGCTATAGCCCTGGTGGTGAGCATGCTAGTGGGAGCTCATGAAACCTGGAGGAGGTGGAGGGTTGGCAGAGTGGTAGGCCCAAGATTCAGAGGGCCCCTCCTATGGAGCCTAAACCCACACTTTATGCCCTTATGCCACACTGCCCTGGGCTCTGCTTGGCTGCCAGATGATTTATTTAGCTCCTGGTAGGAGGCTACTAGCAACCTGGGCCTTGGAAGTCTATGCTCCTTGCAGAGACTTTGAGGAGAAAAAAATAGAAGTCTATATACTCTTTGCTGTTCAGGAAGCAAAGGCACCAGCCCCTGGGCCCAGGAAAAGTGACCAGGCCCAATTATCAATGTAAGAGCACCAACAAAATGCCAGCCTGGGTCTTCATTCCAAAGCTCACTTTTGCTGTAAATGGGTTTACTACTGACCCATTCCATTCAATGTCTGCCTTGTGCAACATTATATTTCATAAAGACCACGGTGTAGAGTAAATCAAGTTTTCCCACAGAAATAGTGTTATCTCTCAGCTTGGTATGACCAAACAAGGACTTGACCTTGAGTTCATCATGACTTTATATAATTATAACTGATTTACACACAAAACTGACTCCCATCACAGAAAAACAGAAAACCTAACAACTGCCTGTCAGCATAGCACTGTTTGTCCACTTAGAAAAGTAAACAGAAAATTCCATTATAAAAAAGCTCAGTAAGGTAGAGAGGTAGATGTGTCTTTAGAGGTGACATTTAAAATTGGTAATAGTTAAATTATCCATGGAAAGAATGAACAGAGAAAAATAAAGAGGACTTACAGGACCACCAGGTTCATATGCTCACTGTGCAGTAAGGACCAATACACTGAAACAGCAGAGTTTGCAGCAAAGAAAGAGTTTAATGATCACAGGGTGGCCAAGCAAGGAAATGAAAGGAACCCTTCCATCCATTTCCCTAAGGAGTTCTGGTCTAGAGTTGTTTGTTTGAGACAGGTTTTCTCTGTTGTCCAGTCTGGAATGCAGTAGCATGATCATGGCTCACTGCAGATTTGACCTCCTGAGCTTAAGTGATCCTCCTGCCTCAGCCTCTTGATTATTTAGGACCACAGGTATTCACTATTGCACCCAACTAATTTTTGCATTTTTAGTAGAGAAGGAGTCTTGCTATGTTGCCCAGGCTGGTCTCAAACTCCTGGGCTCAGGTGATCCACCCACCTCAGGATCCTAAACTGCTGGGATTACAGGCATAAGCCACTGGACCTGGCCTGGCCAACAGTTTTTAAGGGGATCTTGGAGGACAAGGGGCTGAAAAATTAGGATCATTGATTGGTCGGGACAAGGGGGATTAAATCATCAGGAGGTAGCAGCTGCATGCTTTTGGTGAGTCAGCTCCTCTTGGGGTCCTTCAGACCAGCTGATGTCAGTAGTAGTTTCACCAGCATCTCAGATGGAAAACTGAACATTTCACAATGCTGCAATGTTATCTGCAGAGCAGTGAAAAGGAACTATGATCCTGTGACAGAGTCTATGTGGTTCTGGGGCAACAGGCAGCAAACAACTCTGAGGAAGGGGTCAGAGAGCAGCTGACCTCATGACCAATGCTGTGTGTGCTGCAAGCTGGGCTGATTCCCATTTCTCCCCTCCCTTCTTCCCTGATCAATTTTATAAAGTTGATAGGGACAGTTTCAGGACTGAGAAATAATTCTTTAAAAATATTATTTATAAAGGATCTGAAAGAAGAAAAGGAGTCAGTGAATTCAATAGAGAATGAGTGACTGAAAGACAGGAGAAGCTACAGAATGGTAGAGACAGCCAAACACAAGCTGCAGGAAAACTGAGTTGGCCAAGTTCAATGATGCAGACATCTGAGAGAGTGATGAATGAGGAAGGCAATTCTGTGCGTCCATGTCTATTCAGTTATGAAATACATGGCAAGCTCCAAAAAGTCTTGAAATACACTGTCATTGTTGGTTGCTAGAAGGTATAGTAGTCCACCCTTACCCACAGTTTCACTGTCTACTGTTTCAGTTGTTCTTACAGTACAATAAGGTATTTTGAGAGAGAACGAGAGAGAGAGATGCCACATTCACATCACTTTTTTTTTTTTTTTTTTTTTTTGAGACAGAGTCTCACTCTGTCTCCCAGGCTGGAGTGCAGGGTCATGATCTGAGCTCACTGCAACTTCTACCTCCCAGGTTCAAGTGATTCTCCTGCCTCAGCCTCCCGAGTAGCTGGGATTACAGGTGCGCACCACCATGCCTGGCTAATTTTTCGTATTTTTAGTAGAGATGGGGTTTCACTATGTTGGCCAGGCTGGTCTTGAACTTCTGGCCTCAAGTGATCCTCCCGCCTTGGCCTCTCAAAGTGCTGGGATTACAGGCATGAGCCACCATGCCCTGGCAACATTACTTTTATGATAGTATATTATAATAAATGTTCTATTTTATTATTAGTTATTGTTACCCTCTTATTGTGCCTAATTTGTGAATTAAACTTTATCATGGGTAAGTATATATAGGAAAAAAACATAGTATATTTAGGGTTTGGTACTATCTTTGGTATCAGGCATTTACCAGCGGTCTTGATGTTTTCCCCCAAGGATAGGGGTGAACTACTGTAATCACTGTTAGAATGTAAGTTCCTTGTATGATAAGGATAGGCTTATGTGCTATTCAAGTGCCTAGCCCCCACTTGGCATTGAATGGTGTATTTGTAGAATACATGGTCTTATTTTTCCTCACTTTCCCCAACACACTCATTCTTTCTTAAACATATAACAGCATTTGCGTTTAGCATTTGTGTGCACTTTAAGAAGTGACACAAAATGTGAGATTGCACTGTTTTCCGGGGATGGGAAGAAAGGAGCCGAGAAAGAACAAAGCCGTCTTGAGATTTATCAAGGGTGGAAAGGCTGATTAATGAAGTGTTAGGAACGCACCATTACCTCATGAGCTTCGTGGGAAAAACATGGATGATAATGACATCCTCTCAGGACTTGGACCACTTGTTTCGTAGTAACAGCGGTTTCTGTTTGAGGGGAGTTTCTTCTTCCCCCATTCTCTGTATCATTCATTTGACAATTAATCATCATGACATTCTGGTAGACTGAACTTCTATTTGCTCTTTGTACTGATTAACTTTTCACATGTTTGTGTTTCCCTGGCCTAGATTAGGAGCACGCTAATAGCAGGCATCGTATTTCATCCTTGTGTGTATCCCTCGACAGCCTAGCACTGTACCCTTGCATGTGGGGGCAGCAGGTGGTGTGAGAATGGGAATGTTCTCTGTTAATCCTTGTTCCCCAGCAGTGAACACAGATAGTGACAAATAGACAATGGCCCGTGTGAAATAAATGTGGATGGATTTGGGGACTGGGCCTCCTGCTTCCCCCTGGAATGTGCTGGTCCCCAGTATGAATCTGGCAGTGGTGATTCGACTCATGTTTCTAGACACTCCTAAATAGCACCTAGACGGGAGGCCCCCTGAGCCATCTCCCTCACCTTTGAGCACAACTCAAGGCAATTGAATTTTGCTCAGCCCAGAGAGCTGAGACCAGAAGACATTTCAGGAAGCCCCAGGGTGAACCATCCTGCATTGCAATAGCTTGGACTATCACATTTTCCTTTTTCAGGGGAGAGGGTGGCGGAGGACCAGCATTAACACTCCTTCCACCTGCTACTTCTCTTGCTCCTTAGTGGGCCTTGAAAATGCTCAAATCCAAACCTGTGTCTGTTCTCTGTACCTGTGTGTACTGGGAACAAGGTGGGGAAGGGAAGATCAAAGTTCTGATTAGAGCTAACCCAAGTCCTTCATGCTGCAATGCGAATCCTTTCCTCTCTCTCCTCTTGCCCCTCATAGAAATGCAGACTAGTGGCTCACGCCTGTAATCTCAGCACTTTGGGAGGCCAAGGCGGGTGGATCACCTGAGGTCAGAAGTTTAAGACGAGCCTGGTGAACATGGTGAAACCTCATCTCTACTCAAAAAAATACAAAAATTAGCCAGGTGTGGTGGTGGGCACCTGTAATCCCAGCTACTCAGGAGGCTGAGGCAGGGAGGATTGCTTGAATCCAGGAAGCAGAGGTTGCAGTGAGCCGAGATCACGCCACTGCACTCCATCCTGGGCGACAGAGCAAGACTCCATCTCAAAAAAAAAAAAAAAAGAAATGCAGACTATCTTGGATCTAGATATTCACCAAAGATTTATATGTCCAATTCCTTCCAAACAGACTTGAGGTCACCTCCTAGTAAAGAGAGTACCAGAGCGAGGTGTGGTGGCTCATGCCTGTAATTCCAGCAACTTGGGAGGCTAAGGCAGGAGGATCACTTGAGCCCAGGAGTTTGAGATCAGCCTGGGCAACATAGACCCCGTCTCAAAAAATAATAATAAATAAATGAATACAAATTAAAAAGAGTGTCCCAGATAAAACTTAAGCGTAAATTAGAAGAAAGGCCTCTGAAGAAAGCAAAATCAATGCTTTAAAGGACCTCCTTGCAAGAATCTTTATGTTTAAATATCCTTATTCAATGTATCAAGTTTTCCTTAATCTTGGAGTAGGTCACAGTTCTGTCCCCTTAGGGCTAAATAGTTAAAATCTGTTTAGCTCATCCTTGTGCCTCCAACTTGTCAGGGTTTTAATTGCTTTCAGGATCCTTTTATAAATTCTCCCAGAATCAGCGTATTGTCCTAGCAAAACTCCACGGGTTGGTTCAGCCCCCGTTCTGGTCTCCTCGCCCTTGCCAGGCCTTCAGAATTCCTAGCCTGCATCTCCACGCCCATTCACATGGCTGGCCCAGGGCGAGCAGGGAACTGACTGGGTCACCAACCACTTCTGTGTCTCTCTCCCTCCCCTTGTGCTGGCTGAAGTCCAACATGGCTGTTACCAAACTGGAGCTGGAAGACAATTGCATCATGGAGGAGGGCGTCTTGAGCCTGGTGGAGATGCTACAAGAGAACTACTACCTCCAGGAGATGGTACTGTGCCCCCCTGTGCTGGCTCTTACCATCATCCCTGGGGATTCACAACCCACTGGAGACAAGCCAGAGGCCCTGCCAGGACCCAGGCTGCCTCCAGGCTCCTGCCCGCCCCTGCCCTTCCCACACGACTTCTTAGAGGAGGGCCACATGTGAGAGGCTGTGTTTCCTATGGCTGTAGGAAAACCTAAGAAACAATTTATGGCTGGGCGCGGTGGCTCACACCTGCAATCCCAGCACTTTGGGAGGCCGAGGTGGGAGGATCGCCTGAGGTCAGGAGTTCAAACCCAGCCTGGCCAACATGGTGAAACCCCGTCTCTACTAAAAGTACAAAAATTAGCAGGCATGGTGGTGTAATCCCAGCTACTTAGGAGGCTGAGGCAGGAGAATGGCTTGAACCCAGCAGGTGGAGATTGCAGTGAGCTGAGATCGCACCACAGCACTCCAGCCTGGGCGACAAGAATGAGACTCCATCTCAAAAAAAAAAAAAAAAAAAGAAACCACTTCTGTCTGGACCTTAGAAGCCCTTAAAAATGATAAATGTGGCCAGGCATGATGGCTCACGCCTGTAATCCCGACACTTTGGGAAGGCAAAGTGGGCAGATCACCTGAGGTCAGAAGTTCAAGACCAGCCTGGCCAACATGGTGGAACCCCGCCTCTACTAAAAATATAAAAACTTAGCTGTGCATGGTGGTGTGTGCCTGTAATCCCAGCTACTCGGGAGGCTGAGGCAGGAGAATCACTTGAACCCCAGAGGCAGAGGTTGCAGTTAGCCGAGATGACGCCACTGCACTCCAGCCTGGGTGACAGAGTGAGACTCTGTTTCAAAAAAAAATTGATAAATGTAGCTCTGCATAGTTGCCTTAAAGTGAACTTTCTTAAAGAAAGTAAAGACATGAAATAATGTCATAAAAGACAATGTGCCTAGAGATGGCTGGCGGTGATGGTTACACAATGTGAATATGCTTAATACCACGCCACTGGACACTGAAAAACGGCAAAGATGGTAAATAATATGTTATGCTTATTTTACCATCATAAAAAGAAATTCAAAGAAAAGGGGGAACAACCAATTAAGACAATAATGGCCACTTTATATAAAGTCTCTCCCACTAGCTTAAAAGGACAATTCATACTTCCCAAATCAATGAGTAGAATTTACAATGATTATGCACTCTAAACTCATTTTTCACTGTTTCACTGCCAAGCTCTCCAAATGAAGCTGTTTTGGGTTTTAATACAAAGAAACAAAATAGTATGCTTATCTGAAGCACCAAGGCTAAATTGGGAAAACAGGGAGTCCTTGAAGCCAACTTCAAAAAACTGAGACCAGCTAGCCCACGGGTCCCACCGGGAGGCCCTGGAAAAGCTGGCTCTAGAGCCCGGTTTCCTATTGCCCTTCTCTTCGTCCTTGGCACCTCCCTAATCCTCCTAATCCTTTCCCACCCCAACCCTACTCCCTCAGCACAGGACTCAAGTAAACCACAAAAGACATCATTTTTTCATGAGGGCCCTTTGGTGAGCTTTTTTACATACCGAAGTGTTTTCTTGCCTTTTAGAATATTTCCAACAATCACCTTGGTTTGGAGGGGGCCAGAATCATCTCAGATTTCTTTGAGAGAAACAGTTCTTCTATCTGGAGCCTTGAGCTTTCAGGTGAGCACATGGAAAGGGAGGGAGAAGACACTGGGAATCAGAGGGAGGGAAGAGGGGAAAAACAGAGAATTCAATGTCTCATTGAACCAGACCATGTCCTTCTAGTCTTGGAGACCAGAATACTGCATCTATGCCTGCTAAACCCTCCCAGTCACACTCCCCTAGCCCCCGCCATTTATCATCCATATCTGACATTACAGATGATATATAAACAATAATTTATCATGTACTTTACCACCCAAACTGAATAGGGAACTATTAATTAACTGGAACCACAAGCAAACTGAGATATCTTGCACCCAATCATAAACTATGTTTAATATGATTAAGAACATAAAATAAAATCATAAAAGAACAAATCACTTAAAAAGAGACCTCCCCTCCTCTCCACACCAAGGGTTTCTTACAATGAAAAATTTATAGTCACTGATATTAAAGACTGAACAAATAAATTCAATGGCACATTAGTTACAGGTGAATAGAATTAGTGGAAAACATTTTATCTATCTTTGCAGCATAGAAAGACAAAGACATAGAGAATATAAAAGATAAAAGAATGAAATGAATGACTAGTTTCCAGAAGGAGAAGAAATGAATGAGCAGCAATATTTGAACAAATAACAGCTAACATGTTCCCTGAATTGATAAATGTGCAGATACAGGAATCCCAGTAACTCCTAAGAAAGGTATATAAAAAAGAATCCACACTTGATTATATCTCTGAAAAACCATTAACACACAGAGAAGATCTGAAGAGTGTCTAGGGAAAAAATACAGAAATAAAGTTTGTGTATTTTTCTCTATAAAGACGGGTTGTCCCCATCTCACCATGTTGTCCAGGCTAGTCTCAAACTCCTGGGCTCAAGCAATCCTCCCGCCTCAGCCTCCCAAAGTGGTGGGATTACAGGCATAAGCCACCATGCCCAGCCTTAGTTCGTGTATTTTTAACATAAATGTTTTTACATGTCAGTTATTGTTCTCCAATTTTTCTTGTTTTCCACTAAATATGTCTTGGATTTCTTTCTATGGCAGAACAAATAGATTTATCTAATTCTCTTGAACTGCTGGCTAGTATTCTGAGTTATGGACATACCATAGTTTATTTAACATCCCCCTATTTGGGAGAAAGGAGATTAAAGTCATTTCTAATTTTGCCTTCAAGTAATGTTTTAAAGGACTTTCTTGTACATGTATCTTTTAGGCACATGTTCTTGTATTTCTAGATCGACACCCAGGAGCACAATTACTGAATATGAAGATGTATCCATTTTTGTGAACTTAACAACTGATTTCCAAATTTCCCTTTAAAAAGACTGCCAGGTTATAATTCTACCAATGGACTGTTGCCTATACCATCCCCAGAAGGGAAATAACAAGCAATTTGTGAATCAAAATGGTTAAGCATGTGGGTGTAGAAGTCACAGTGCTTGGGTTCAAATCCCAGCTTTGACACTGGGCAAGTTTTTTAAACAGTTTGTGCCTCATTTTCTCATTCATAAAATAAGGATAATTATATTACCTCAGATGGTTATTGTGAAGATTAAGTGAATTAAAATCTAAAACTCCTAGAACTATACCTAGTACATAAGTATTCAATGTGTTTCTCGCTATTATTGTCTTTGTTACTGTTACACATTCTATTACTATTGAAATAGAACACTTTTTCAGAAGCTCACTTCCACTTCTATTTTCTTTTCTATGAAATGTCAATTGTTGTATGGGGTTGTTAGTGTGACTGAGTTTTAGCCATTCTTCATAAACTATAGATATTCATACTTGAATGTTAGAATGTTAGATACGGCTTTATTTATGGTACTTTCTCGACCTCGACTCACTGCAACCCCCGCCTCCCAGGTTCAAGCAATTCTCCTGCCTCAGCCTCCTGAGTAGCTGGGACTATAGGTGCCCGCCACCACACCCAGCTAATTTTTGTATTTTTAGTAGACACGGGGTTTCACCATGTTGGCCAGGATGGTCTCGATCTCTTGACCTTGTGATCTGCCCGCCTCAGCCTCCCAAAGTGCTGGAATTACAGGCTTGAGACACCGTGCCCAGCCTGTTTATGGTACTTTCTTGTAGCAAAGTTTATATCTTTTATTGATGTCAAGTTTTATAGTCTTTTTCCTTTATGTATTTAATTTTTGTAGCCTGGCTTTAAAACTCTTTCCTAAAGTTTATAAAAATATTTTCCTGAACCAGGAGTGGTGGCATGTACCGACAGTCCCATCTACTCAGGAGGCTGAGGTGGGAAAATTGCTTGAGCCCAGGACTGGCCCCCCTGGGCAACATAGCAAGACCCCATCTATAAAAAAGAAAAAGAAAAAAAATTAGGTAAAAATATTTTCCTTTATTTTCTTCTATTTTTGTTGTTGTTGTGGTTTCTACTCTTAGCTCTCTAATATATCTAGTACTTGTTTGTGCATGGAATGAAGTAGAAATCAGATGTTTTATTTCCAAAACTGATAACCAGGTACTCCAGCATCATCAATGTAATAATTGATCCTTTTCTCATTAATTTGAAATGTCATCTTTATCATGTATTAAACTTCCATTATAAATATAGGTTTCCTTCTAGAGTCTCTATTTTATTTCATTAATCTATTTATGTATTTCTTTTTTTTTTTTTTTTTTGAGACGGAGTCTCACTGTCACCCAGGCTGGAGTGCAGTGGCACAATCTCGGCTCACTGCAGGCTCTGCCCCCCGGGGTTCACACCATTCTCCTGCCTCAGCCTCCCGAGTAGCGGGGACTACAGGCGCCCGCCACCTCGCCCGGCTAATTTTTTGTATTTTTAGTAGAGACGGGGTTTCACCGTGTTAGCCAGGATGGTCTTGATCTCCTGACCTCGTGATCCGCCTGCCTCGGCCTCCCAAAGTGCTGGGATTACAGGCATGAGCCACCGCACCTGGCCTATTTATGTATTTCTATGTCAACACTGCATTGTCTTAATATTTGTTTAGAATATTAAAATTATAATTACTACATATTATAACATAAGATGTTGTGACTAATACAAAAAATGATGATGTACTATTTAATATATAAGTTATAAAATCTTATAATAAATATTTTGCATTTCTTTGTTTTTGAGACGGAGTCTCCCTCTGTCGCCCAGGCTGGAGTGCAGTGGTGCCATCTCAGCTTGTTATAACCTCTGCCTCCTGGGCTCAAGTGATTCTCCTGCCTCAGCCTCCCGAGTAGCTGGAATTACAGGCGCCTGCTGCCATGCCCAGCTAATTTTTGTATTTTTAGTAGAGACAGAGTTTTGCCATGTTGGCCAGGCTGGTCTCGAACTCCTGACCTCAAGTGATCCAACTGCCTCAGCCTCCCAGAGTGCTGGGATTACAGGCATGAGCCACTGTGCCCAGCCAATAAATATGTTTCGTGTGTGAGTGGGCAAAGACTACCCCTTTTTTCAAAGTAATCTTGAATCTTTTTTTCAAAGTAATCTTGAATTTTTTTTCAAAATAATTCTGCAATCTTGGCTATTAGTATTGTAAGTAATAGTAGTCTTGGCTATTCTTGTGCAGTTTCTCCTCCAGGTGAATTTTAGAATCATTTTGTCAAGTTCTATTTAAGAAAAAAAAGAAAAAAAACACCTGTTGGGGTTTTGGTTGGGGTTCCATTTAATATTCTAGATTAATTTATGAAAGAACTGACATTCACAATATTGAGTCTCCTCATTTATGAACATGGTTTATCTCTACTCCTTCAGGTATTTTTATATTCTTTTTTTTTCTTTTTCTTTTTTTTTTTTTTTAGAAGGAGTTTCACTCTTGTTGCCAGGCTGGAGTGCAATGGCATGATCTTGGCTCACTGCAGTCTCTGCCTCCTGGGTTCAAGCGATTCTCCTGCCTCAGCCTACCGAGTAGCTGAGATTACAGGCATGTGCCACCACACCCAGCTAATTTTGTACTTTTAGTAGAGATGGGGTTTCTCCATGTTGGTCAGGCTGGTCTCGAATTCCCAGCCTCAGGTGATCCACCCGCCTCAGCCTCCCAAAGTGCTGGGATTACAGGTGTGAGCTACTGTGCCCAGCCCCAGGTCTTTTTACATTCTTGAGTAAAGTTTTAGTTTCTTCTATTATAAGCCTTGCATTATTTATATTAGGTTTATTTCTAGGTCTTCTATTATTTTATCTTATGTGAACAGAATGTTTTTTTCTATCACATTTTCTAATTGGTCATTACCGGTGTGTCTGAAAGCTATTAATTTTTGTACATTAATTCTATATCCAGTCACTTTATTAAATTATCTTATGAGTTCTAACATTTTGTTAATTAATTTTATAGAATTATTTAGATAGGTGATTATACCTGCAAATAATGAAAGTTTTTTCTTTTCCAATATTTATATCTCCTAATTATTTTTCTGGTTGCATTGGCTAAGACCCCTAACATAATGTGTTAACATAGTACAGAAAGTTCTTTGTAAAAATACAAATCACCCAGTCCTATCCCAGACTGGTGAAATCAGAATCTTTGGCAGGAGAAATCTTGGAATCTGTGTTTTATCAAATTTCACAAATAATTCTCTTACAACCAGCTCTGTAGTATCTGTAACCACTGATTTAAACACAAGAATTTGAATAACTAATCACCTAGTTTTATGCATTGACTAGCTTATTATCTCACTTTATTGCACTGCTAACAGACACAGCCAAACAAGTATTTGTGTTCCAGTGAATGCATTCATTCATTCATTCATTCATTCATTCACTCACTTTACTAAGGACCTGTTATGTGCCAAGCACTATTTAGGTGGTAGAGATTATTGAGGGTTCAAAGGAGGAAATTTGGGAATAAGGCTCTATGTCATGTACTTCCCAGAAATCACCAGTGTCTTACATTGCTTAGCAGGGCCACAACTCAGGTAAGGTGAGTGAGCCATTTGCGTTGGTCACAAAATGTAAGGAGTGCCAAAATATCCTGATGTGCAAAATATCAAGACATTAAATAAAAACAGCATCTAGCAGGGATTGAATGGACTGAGGTGAATAAGGTCTAGTCATGTGTGTGCAGGGTCAGATTTTAAAATTATAAAGACACCAGGTGCGAATCCCAGCACTTTAGGAGGCTGAGGTGGGCAGATCACAAGGTCAGGAGTTTGAGACCAGCCTGACCAACATGTTGAAACTGTGTCTGTACTAAAAATATAAAAATTAGCTGGGTGTGGTGGTGCACAACCTGTAATCCCAGTTACTCAGGAGGCTGAGGCAGGAGAATTGCTTGAACCCAGGAGATGGAGGTTGCAGTAAGCCGAGATCACGCCACTGCACTGCACTCCAGTCTGGGTGACAGAGCGAGACTCCGTCTCAAAAAAAAAAAAAAAAAAAAAAAAAAAAAAAAAAAACTTGTTCAATATAGATGATTTTACACTAATTTTGGTTTTTTAAAATGTTGTATTAGGATATTATTCTTCTTGATTACTGAGTTTTTAGGCACCTCTTAAATTTTGCACACATGGTAAGTGTCTCACTCACAGGTGTCCCAGTCCTGCTGCTTGAACTTGGATGAGCATTTTTAGGATGTTATAGACTCTAGGCACTAGGCTGGGGGTTGATGCTGCTAATGAATGCACAGGGTATGCTACCAACTCCTGGAAGTTCATGGCAGAGAGAAAAGGCAATGTTAAAAGAGAGGGTAAACAGTTGCCTTGTTCTCTTTTGTCCATGTAATACTTGCTTTAAGTCCCTTCCTGTCCTGTCCTGTCCCTTCCTTTTTTATTTGATTTTATTATTTTATTTTTGAGGTGAAGTCTTTCTCTGTCACCCAGGCTGGAGTGCAGTGGCGTTGTGATCTCAGCTCACTGCAATCTCCACCTCCCAGATTCAAGCATTTCTCGTGCCTCAGCCTCCTGAGTAGCTGGGACCACAGGTGTGCGCCATCATGCCTAATTTTTGTATTCTTAGTAGAGACAGGGTTTTGCCATATTGGCCAGACTGGTCTCGAACTCCTGACCTCAGGTGATCCACTCGCCTTGGCCTGTAAAAGTTCTGGGATTATAGGCATGAGCCACAGTACCCAGGCTCCTTTTCTTTTTTTAAAAACAGGATCTTGGTCTGTCACCCAGGCTGGAGTGCAGTGGCACCAACATGGCACACTGCAGCCTCGACCTCCTGGGTTCAAGTGATCCTCCCACCTCAGCCTCCAAAGTAGCTGGGACCACAGGTTCATGCCACCATGACTGGCTAATTTTTTTAAAAATTCTTTGTAGAGACAAGGGCTCACTATGTTGCCCAGGCTGGTCTCAAACTCCTGGGCTCAAGTCATCCTCCCACTTCCGCCTCCCAAAGTGCTGGGATTACAGGCGTAAGCCAATGCGTCTGGCCCCTACCACCTTTTTTCTGTTCGATTGTTCTAAAGGGAAGTGGACTGGGAGGGGCAGGGGGTGGGAGAGGAAGGGAGCCATGGTCTAGCAGTGCATCACTGACACACCACCCTCACTACAGGAAATGACTTCAAGGAAGACTCCGCAGCACTGCTCTGCCAAGCCCTGTCGGTAAGAGGCAGGGAGTGCAGCCAAGCCACGTGGGCGATGTCCCTGGGAGATCTGGGCAACCTGGGGCTGCTATGGGCACAGTAACGTGAGGCTACTTTCACATGTTAGGGACTGGGGAGTGTTTAGACCCTGCCAACCCCAACAAAGGCACAGCAAATGGTAGAGCTGTTTATATGGCACTAAGTTCTCCCAGCAGCCATCAACAGTCCAACAAAAAATGCCTAAGACATTGTCTTCACCTAATTTTTGGTACATCAGAGCCCCACCATCATACTGCCCTGAGATAAGTAAGATATTTGCAATCAGAAGACAAAAAATCCTTCTCTTTCCCCTGTTTGTTTCTGTAGACCAATTACCAAATTAAAAAGCTGGATCTCAGTCACAACCAATTCTCTGATGTAGGAGGGGAGCACCTGGGCCAGATGCTGGGTGAGTCTCCCTGGAGGAAGGGACAGCAAAGGGGAGGGATAGGGAAGAATCACTTGGCAGAGCGGAATCTCCCTTTTAAACATGATTTTTAAATGTTGTGATTATAAAAGTGATGTAAACATGCCCAAAATACATTCAGAATTTGGGTGCAGTGGCTTATGCCTGTAATCCCAGAACTTCAGGAGCCTGAGGCAGAAGGATTGCTTGAGCCCAGGAGTTCAAGATCACCCTGGGCAACACAGGGACACCCTGTCTCTATAAAATTTCAAAAAATTAGCCAGGTGTGGTGGTGCACACCTGTAATCCCAGCTACTCGGAAGGCTGAGGTGGGAGGATTCCTTGATCCCAGGAAGTAGAGGCTGCAGTGAGCCATGATTGTGCCACTCCACTGCAGCCTGGGCAACAGAGAGAGGCCCTGTCTCAAAAGAAGAAGCACAAGAAGAAGGAAAAGAAGAAGGGGAAGGGAAGGGGAAGAGGGAGGGGGAGGGGCAGCAGCAAACACCTGGACATGGGAAGTAAAACTTTACGATGATTAGAAGAACACAGAAACAACTAACAACTCAGGAAGGCTAAGGACTCTTAAGTATGGCCCAGTAAGCATAAACGGTCCAAAAGCAATGGAAAAAGTACCTTTTGGGTACTATGCTTATTACCTGGGTGATGAAATAATCAGTACACCAAACCCCTGGGACATGCAATTTACCTATATAACAAACCAGCACATGTAGGCCTGAACCTAAAAGTTTTAAAAATTCCCATATTTGACAACAATACATTTGAAACATGCATATGATAAAAAGACACACAACCATGAACAACCTTAAAAGACAAGCAACAGGCTGGGCGTGGTGGCTTACGCCTGTAGTCCCAGCACTTCGGGAGGCCGAGGTGGGCAGATCACGAGGTCAAGAGATCAAGACCATCCTGGCCAACATGGTGAAACCCCATCTCTACTAAAAATACAAAATTAGCTGGATGTGGTGGTGCATGCCTGTAATCCTAGCTACTCGGGAAGCTGAGGCAGGAGAATCACCTGAACCCAAGAGGCGGTGGTTGCAGTGAGCCAAGATGGCGACACTGCACTCCAGCCTGGGCAACAGAAGGAGACTCCAGCTCAAAAACAAAAACAAAGACAGGCAACAGACAGGGAGTAGATATTTGCAGCATTTGTAGAGTACAAAAAATAGTATTCAGAATGTTGATAAAAGATCCTTAGCTCAATTAGACAATGATAAATAGCCTCAATAGAGCAATGGTCAAGGCATATGCATAGCAAAAGAAGAAAGTCGAGTGCCCACATCTCTTAACTAGTTAGAGAAATGAAAGGTTCTCCTTGTCATCTTTAAAGCTGTGAAATTTTAAAGCCAGTGAATGTCAAAGGCTGCGGACAACCGAGCGAAATAAGAATACTTCAAGCTGCCGGGCACTTTTGAGAACAACTTGATGGTCCTTGGTAAACTTGAAAATGTGTCTATTCTATGATGCAGAAATTCCCTCCCATCAAGGGGAATTGTCTCAGAGAAGCTCTCACACATACACAGAGAAATGTGTGAGGAGGTTATTACAGCATCGCCATAAAAGAGGAAAAAAAAATAGTAACAACCTAAATAGTCATCCCCAGGCAAATGAGTACAAAAGAGGAAGTTGTCACAGGAGTCTAGGCAAGACAGGAAAATAGCTTGAGCTCAGGGAGGAGGTGGGGATAGAGAAGAGTGAATGAATTCAGAATATACTTTGGGGGTAAAGCCAAAAGGACTTGCTGATGTGAAGAATGGGGGAAAGAGAGAGATAGACTCATGGTCATTTTGCTTCAGCTATTGGTTGGATGATGGTGTTGTTTACGTGGATGGAGACAACTCAGGGAGCAACAGGGACAGGAGATAGGAGCCCCGTTTTCCATTTTGGCCACGTGATGTTTGCAATGGCCATTTGAACCTACATAGAGAAGTCAGGTAGATGGTTTGCTATATGAGTTTAGAGCTGGGTGAAGAGATCAGGGCTGAAGATACACATTTGGGGTCATAGGTATATAGATGTATTTAAAACCATGAGGCAAGATGAAGTCATCTAGTCAGGGAGTGTAGACAGAGTTGAGTAGGTGGCCGTCGAACTGACCTTTGGGTCACTCCGACATTTTTAGGTTTCACAGAGGAGGAAGAGGAGTCTGAGGAGTGGTCAGTCAAATAGGAGGGAAACCAGAAAAGCGAGGTGGCAGGAGCCGAGGAAGGGTGCAGTGCAGGAAGAAGATCGACAGTTGCATCAAATGCTGTTGAGAGATCAAATAAGACGAGGATAAAATAGTAACCATGGCACTTGGCAGCATGGAGTGTTAGTGGCTTTGAAAGTCCTATTTTAACTATTCACAGTAACAAAGACAGGGAATCAACCTAAATGCCCATCAGTAGTAGACTGGATTAAAAAAATTTGGTGCATATACACCACGGAATACTATGCAGTCACAAAAAAACTGAAATCATGTTCCTTGCAGGAACAGGGTTGGAGCTGGAGGACATTATCCTTAGCAAACTAACATAGGAAGAGAAAACCGAATACCACCTGTTCTCACTTATAAGTGGCAGCTAAATTATGAGAACACACGAACACAGAGAGGGGAACAGACACTGGGGGACTAACTGAGGGTGGAGGGAGGGAGGAGGGAGAGGAACGGGAAAAATAACTGAGTACTAGGCTTAATACTTGGGTGATGAAATAATCTGTACAACAAACCCTGTGACACAAGTTTACCTATATAACAAACCTGCACATGTACCCCTGAACTTAAAATTTAAAAAAAAAAAAAGTGCTGTTTTAGTGGAGTGGGTGAGTTATGGAAACCCAAATGGAGGAGGTTGAGTTGAAAATGGAGGCCTGGCACAGTGGCTCATGCCTGTAATCCCAGTGCTTTGGGAGGCCAAGATGGGAAGCCAGGAGCTCAAGACCAGCTTGGGCAACATAGTGAGACCCACTCTCTACAAAAAATTCAAAAGTTGGGCTGGGTACAGTGTCTCACACCTGTAATCCCAGCACTTTGGGAGGCTGAGGCGGGTGGATCACCTGAGGTCAGGAGTTCCAGACCAGCCTGGCCAACATGGTGAATCCCTGTCTCTACTAAAAATACAAACATTAGCCGGTGTAGTGGTGTGCGCCCGTAATCCCAGCTGCTAGAGAGACTGAGGCACAAGAACCGTTTGAACCTGGGAGGCAGAGGTTGCAGTAAGATGAGATCCTGGGGTGGGGGGAGTGGGGAGGGATAGCATTAGGAGATATACCTAATGTTTAATGACGAGTTAATGGGTGCAGCACACCAACATGGTACATGTATACATATGTAACAAACCTGCACGTTGTGCACATGTAACCTAAAACTTAAAGTATGATAAAAAAATAAAATAAAATATTACTTTCAAAAATAAATAAATAAATAAATAAATAAATAAATAAAAGACGAGATCCTGCTATTGCACTCCAGCCTGGGTGACAGAGTGAGACTCCATCTCAAAAAAAAAAAAAATCAAAAACTAGCTGGGCATGGTGGCACATGCCTATAGTCCCAGCTACTTGGGAGGCTAAGGCAGGAGAACTGCTTGAGCCCAGGAGTTAGAGGTTATCGTAAGCTGTGATCATGCCATTGCACTCCAGCCTGAGCAACAGAGTGAGACCCTGTCCTCCAAAAAGAAAAAGAAAATAGGATGCAAAGCAAAAAGAACACTATACGCAACCACAGAAGTTCTGCTGGGAAGGTTGGAACAGAAAAAGGGGGCAGGAGCCAAGGGAGACATAGAGTCCAAGGAGAGTTCTTAAGGATGGAAAATGCTGAGAGGAAGAAAGAAGAATAAACTGATGCTACAGAAGAAGGAGGAGGTAATTACAGGAGCAAAGTCCATGAGAAGGCTGCAGGCAATAGAGTCCAGAACAAAAGTGCGGAGCTCGCTGGCCTGAGAGAGCAGGAGGGACAGTTCATTCATTGAAAAATGGACGAGGAAAGGGTGGGTGCGGGTGCAGTAAGTGGGTAGATTTCATGGTGGCATTTGAAGCCTGTCATTGCCGCTATTTTCTCAGTGAAGTAGGAGGCAAGATCTTCAGCTGAAAGTTCAGTTCAGACCACTAGGGTTGATGGGAGAGCAGAAGGTATAAAATACCATGCAGGAGGGAGGAGCAACATGTAATGGAAGCACCTTTCCATGTGGGGCAGTTTGAGTCTCTGTCTGAAAACTGAGGTCATAAATTTAACATGAGACAGACTGTGCTCTCTCTTTTGTTTTGTTTTTGAGGCGGAGTCTCGCTCTGTTGCCCAGGCTGGGTGGAGTGCAGTGGCACAATCTTGGCTCACTGCAGCCTCTGCCTCCCGGGTGCAAGCAATTCTCGTGCCTCAACCTCCTGAGTAGCTGGGATTATACGCCCAAGCCATCACACCCAGCTAATTTTTTGTATTTTTGGTAGAGATGGGTTTTCACCATGTTGGCCAGGATGGTCTCCAACACCTGACCTCAAGTGATCCACCCTCCTCGGCCTCCCAAAGAGCTGGGATTACAGATGTGAGCCACTGCCCCGGGCCTGTGCTGTCTTTTAAAATTGTTATAATCGTACTGCAAGTGCAGCTTTTAAAAACACTTACTATTGCTGGGCGGGGTAGATCATGCCTGTAATCCCAACACTTTCGGAGGCCGAGGCGGGTGGATCACCTGAGGTCAGGAGTTCAAGACCAGCCTGGCCAATATGGTGAAAACCTGTCTCTACTAAAAATACAAAAAATTAGCTGGACGTGGTGACTTGGGTGTATAATCCCAGCTACTCGGGAGGGTGAGGCAGGAGAATCACTTGAACCTGGGAGGCAGAGGTTGCAGTGAGCAGACATCGTGCCACTGCACTCCAGCCTGGGCAACAAGAGGGAAATTCTGCCTCAAAAAAAAAAAACCCAAAAAACAAAAAAAAAACCCAACACTTATTATTTGAAGTGATTGCTATGTGACAGGCATCAAATTGGGCATTTTACATCAATCCTCATTTAAAAAAAACTCTATATAGGGCCAGGCGTGGTGGCTCACGCCTGTAATCCCAGCACTTTGGGAGGCCGAGGCGGGCGGATCACAAGGTCAGGAGATTGAGACCATCCTGGCTAACACGGTGAAACCCCGTCTCTACTAAAAATACATAAAATTAGCCAGGCATGGTGGTGGGTGCCTGTAGCCCCAGCTACTCGGGAGGCTGAGGCAGGATAATGGCGTGAACCTGGAAGGTGGAGCTTGCAGTGAGCGGAGATTGCGCCACTGCACTCCAGCCTGGGCGACAGACGGAGACCCCGTCTCAAAAAAACAAAACAAAACAACTCTATACAGGTTGATATCTCCATCGTACAGATAAGGAAACAGATGTAAAGGAAGGATAAGTAACCTGCCTGGGATCACATGGGTAGTAAGTGGTGAGATCAGAATTATAATCTAACTTGTGTGGCCATTTGAGTGATGCAGGTGTGCAAGGTGTAGCTTAAATGAGGGAATTGGCAGAGAAGAGGAAATAAGGGTAAAAAGAGAGTGAAGGAGGGGAGGGGGTAATGAAGGCAGGAGAAAGTTTGTTCCCAAAATTATATAAGGTGTTGTGCACTTTACTAAAAACTCACACCCAGGGTTGACACAAAGAGAAGCATGATCAGAACGTAGTGCACTGTCCATGAAAAATAAGAAATAGGCCCGTGCAGTGGCTCATGCCTATAATCCCAGCACTTTGGGAGTCCGAGGCGGGTGGATCACCTGAGGTCAGGAGTTCGAGACCAGCCTGACCAACATGATGAAACCCTGTCTCTACTAAAAATACAAAAAATTAGCTGGGCGTGGTGGCAGGCGCCTATAATCCCAGCTGCCCGGGAGGCTGAAGCAGGAGAATCGCTTGAACCCAGGAGGCGGAGGTTGCAGTGAGCCGAGATTGTCAAGGGCAAAACTCTGTCTCAAAAAAAAAAAAAAAAAAAAGAAAGAAAGAAAGAAAGAAAAGAAATAAGACATTATTCCTGGGCCAGAGGCCTAAAGGCAATTCCTCCCATTATCCTCCCATTCAGTAATGGTTCAAGAGGACTTTAGCCTTTCCATCAATGGCCTCCTTGGCATAACTGCCCTCCCCAAATAAAAACAACAATAATAATGTGTTTAAATAGGATGTTCCAACCCTGTGGAACATGTAAGCAAAATCATCTTCAGGTCAAAACAAAAGTATGATTTCTGTGCAAACCCAGCTTCTCGCCAAGCCTGGTGCCTCCCCACTTCCAACTGATTGTGCCCCTGAGCCTCTGCTGGAGAGAAATTCTGGAGTCACCACTGCAGCCGTGGCCTGCCATGATAGGCATCATGTGACGTAATATGCCAGGTCCATCACAGCCTTCCTGTGTAAATACAGCCCCTGAAGATGTTTTCCAGCTACTTCTGTCTATTTTAATTCATAATATTCCACCAGATAAATAATTCTTGCTTTTATTTATTTATTTTTGAGATGCAGTCTTGCTCTGTCACCCAGGCTGGAGTGCAATGGCACCATCTTGGCTCACTGCAAACTCCGCCTCCCAGGTTCAATCAGTTCTCCTGCCTCAGCTTCCTGAGTAGCTGGGACTACAGGTGTGTGCCACCACACCCAGTGAATTTTTGTATTTTTAGTAGAGACGGGGTTTCATCATGTTGGCCAGGCTGGTCTCAAACTCCTGACCTCTGGTGATCCACCTGCCTCGGCCTCCCAAAGTGCTGGGATTACAGGTGTGAGCCACCGTGCCTGGCCAAATAATTCTCACTTTTTTTTTTTTTTGAGACAGAGTCTCGCTCTGTCGCCAGGCTGGAGTGCAGTGGCGTGATCTCCACTCACTGCAACCTCTGCCTCCCGGGTTCAAGCGATTCTCCTGCCTCAGCCTCCTGAGTAGCTGGGACTACAGGCACGCGCCACCGCACCCAGCTAATTTTTGTATTTTTAGTAGAGACGCAGTTTCACCATGTTGGCCAGGGTGGTCTCGATCTCTTGACTTCGTGATCTGCCCATGTCAGCCTCCCAAAGTGCTGGGATTACAGGTGTGAGCCACTGTGCCTGGCTAATTCTTACTTTTATAAATGATGCCATGGTAAACATCTACAAGCACCTTGCTCTTCCCATATTCTGTGCTGTAGTCTTAGGTAGAGTCTCAGAGGTGAGTAGGGTATGCACATTTTAATGGGAAAATATCTGTGATCAGATAATATCTGCCAAATAGACTATACCAATTTCCTTCCCACCTAAACTATGTAAGGAGGATTATTTCACCACATCTTTGCCAGCTTTGGGGATCATCTTACAATTTTGTGTTTAAATGAATAACTAAAAAAATTATTATCTGAGAATTTTACTTGCATGACCACTGAGTGGTCTTTATCCCCAGTGTCATGGACATCTGTTAACTCTGAGAATGGGTTTTCTGGGCTGTGGGAGATGCTAAGCCGATTCCCTCCCTGTTTCAGCCATCAACGTGGGGCTCACGTCACTGGATCTGAGCTGGAATAACTTCCACACAAGGGGAGCTGTGGCCTTGTGCAATGGTCTCCGGGTAAGGCACTCTCCAGGAGTGATGTGTGGAGCCCAGTTGAGGACAGCCAGGGCCTCCCATCCTGCCATCCTAAGCCTCTTCCTCATGGTCACCATCAATGAGGGCATACTGGGCTCTCATCAAATACTTTTCAAGTTATTGTTCTCCCTCCCACAATTCCTGGATGCACTTTTTTTTTTTTTTTTTGAGATGGAGTCTTGCTCTGTGGCCCGGGCTAGAGTGCAGTGGTGCAATCTCGGCTCACTGCAGCCACCACCTCCCTGGTTCAAGCGATTCTCCTGCCTCAGCCTCCTGAGTAGCTGAGACTACAGGTGCCCGCCACCATGCCCGGCTATTTTTTGTATTTTTAGTAGAAACGGGGTTGTACCATGTTGGCCAGGCTGGTCTCGAACTCCTGACCTTGTGATCCACCCACCTCAGCCTCCTAAAGTGCTGGGATTACAGGCGTGAGCCACTGCACCTGGCCTGCACATTATTCTTTAGTATAATCGTATCTGCTGAGGCCAGGGTGACATCTTTGGATACACTTCAAGAGGACAGTTTAATTAGTGGGTAGGGAATGACCAGAAGCCAAAGGGAGGGAGTCTCATGAGTACTTGAGACTGAGCCCAGCTGGGAGCTCTGAATGATCTGGCAGACCCATCAGTCCTGGGGACCACTGAGCACCCGGTCTGGATGCCAACAGGGGGTAGAAATCGGGACCCTTTTGGTTGGATGAGTCACGCGTAACCTTGATGCTGGTGCTGTTCTCCCCTCTTCCTGGAGGGTAATGTGACCCTGACAAAGCTGGATCTCTCCATGAATGGCTTTGGGAATGAGGTGGCTCTGGCCCTAGGGGAAGTCCTCCGACTCAACCGCTGCCTGGTCTACCTGGATATCGGTGGCAATGACATCGGCAATGAAGGGGCCTCCAAAATCAGCAAAGGACTGGAATCCAATGAAAGCCTCAGAGTTCTGAAGGTAGTCTTCAGCTGGAAAGGGTGTGTGTGTGTGTGTGTGTGTGTGTGTGTGTTTGTGTATGTGTTGGGATAAGTTGGGGGCTGCAGAGTACTGGAGAGAATAATTGGGAATATCTGTACTTCATATATGCATGTACTTTTTACCATCTCTTGACTGTAAATGCAGTGACCATTCTCTACTATAAAGCCAGTGTCACCCTCAGTGCTCCCTGGTACACTGCAGATCTTTCTAACAGGTCTTCCTTCCTCCCATCTGGGTCTCCTTCGGGATCTTCTCCACCTTCCTCCCATCTGGGTCTCCTTCAGGATCTTCTCCACATTGCCACCGGAGTGTGCTTTTTGTTTTGTTTTGTTTTGTTTTGAGACAGGGTCTGGCTCTGTCCCCCAGGCTGGAGTGCAGTGGTACAATCTTGGCTCACTGCAACCTCCGCCTCCCAGGTTCAAACCATCCTCCCACCTCGGCCTCCGAAAGTGCTGGGATTACAGGCATGAGCCACTGTGCCTAGCCCTCAGAATGTGCTTTTTGAACACAAATCTGACATCCATTCCCCTTCCCCCAGCCCCTCAGTCTCCTGTCTTTCAGCTTAGACCCCTGCATGGCTTCCTGTTGCTCAGATCCTGTTCGCTGAGCCCCAAGTGCCCCTCCAGCCTCAGTCCACCCGGTGCTCTCCCTTGCTCTGCACCCAAGACCCCCTGGTCTTCTCTCCACTCCTTTCCTCCTACTACAGAGGCTTGGCCACTCCGCCTCCACTTGCTTGCTGCTGGGATCCTCCGTCTAGGGGACCTGCTCCCAGAGCCCTGCTCCCTACTTCCCATGGAACTTGCTGCCCTTCCTAATTCCATGCATGTGAGGGCTCTTTGCTCGCCTGTCATCCCCTCAAATGTGAAAGCTTCATCAGAATGAAGACTGTGTTTGGGCCAGGTGCGGTGGCTTATGCCTGTAATCCCAGCCCTTTGGGAGGCCAAGGTGGGTGGATCGCTTGAGGTCACCAGTTTAAGACCAGCCTGGCCAACATGGTGAAACCTTGTCTCTACTAAAAATACAAAATTAGCCAGGCGTGATTGTGCATGCCTGTAATCCCAACTACTTGGGAGGCTGAGGCAGGAGAATCACTGAACCCAGGAGGCGGAGGTTGCAGTGAGCCGAGACCATGCCACTGCACTCCAGCCTGGGTGACAGAGCAAGACTCTGTCTCAAAAAAAAGAATGAAGACTGGTTTTGCCCATCATTAAACTCCTCATACCTAGTCCCTCATACCTAGCATAGTGTTGGGCACACTGTAGAAGCCCAGTGTGCTTCTGATGAATGAATGAATTAATGAATACATATTTCATTTTAAATTAATTTACTAGTAGATGCTAATTTATAATATAGATGCTATTGAGCAGTTGGAAAATAAATGAAAGGTGAGGACTTCTATTAATCATCCCCCTTTCTGGGGCACCTGCCAAGAGCCAGCTGTCGTTACTCATAGCCTCACCTGGTAATGTGGGCTCTGTTAGCCCCACTTGTCAGATGAGAAAACTGAGGCTGTGTGATTGCTTATGCCACACAAGTAGCAGGAGGCAGAGGGAAGCCTGCTGTACGTGGTTTTCCATGGCAACTCCAACTCCCTCAAGATGTGAGGGTGGTTGGAGAGACCACAGATGTGAGGGTCCTGAAGAAGGAAAGCAGTGAGGAGACAGTGAGGAAGGGGCTGCCATCTGAGAGGACAACCATGAGGAGCTGCTAAGAGGACAGGAGGAAGCCAGATTCTGACAGGCAGAAGGAGCACAGTGACTACAGACCAAACAGACTGGCCATCTAGTGACCAGGAGATCTGGGAGTCCCAGCTGGGGTGGAGCGGGGCCAGGCACAACTCAGACAGAGACTGACCCAGGCTGTGGGTGGCTCAGCCCCAGTGGCTGAGGAAGCCAGGGACAGTCTGAGAAACTGAATTTTAAAAGATTAAGCAGTTGCCTCAGCAAAATGGCAATAGAGGTCTTTGCTGTTTTGTGGGTATACATGGTTTAAACCATTTTTTACCGCTTTTCTCATTTTTCCACAATGACCATATGTAATGAATATATTTCAATTTTCTAAAATGTTTTAGAAGTAAAAGAGAAAAGTTTAAGACAAAACTCTTAGTTTGGCCATCATGGAGACCACATCAACTTTGCCACAGGAATTATCTATGGGTCTCCACATCCAGCCCTGATGCCCCTTGCCCTAAGCTTGGAAAAATAAGGAATTCCCATTAGGAAGTGAGTCCAGCAAAGGATTCCAGATGCTGAGCTCCACGAGGTCCAGGCCCTAGTCTGCATTTTCTCACTGGAGTACATCAGAGCCTGGGACGCAGCTGACATATACTAGGGGCTCAGTAAGAGTTTTGGCTGCCTCATGTTGAAGCCACTTAGCTGAAAGCCTTCAATAATAAGAACTATTGTTCATTGACAGCATACTGCATACCAGGCACTTGTTTTAATGCTTTGCCTGAATTGATATGGTAAGTCCTCAGAGCAGCCATAGGTGATAAGTACAAAGTGATCAGGGAATTAATGCAAGGCCAGGCAGCTGGTAAGCAGAGCCACCAGGCTCCACAGTCCCTTCCATTAACTTCCATCCATGCTTCAGCAGCTCCTAGCTCCACTGGGATAATGTCCTTGTTCCTTCTCCAAGCCTATAAGGTTCTCCATGATGTGGCCCATCCCAGCTCTGTGGCCTCATTCTCTCTGCTTCTGCTCACAAACATCTCTTGCTGTTTCACACCCCTATGCCTTTGCACTTGCCTACTCTTTTCTTCTTTGGTGAATCTTGTTTCCTCCTCTGGTTTTGCCCCCCTTCCTCAGACCTCACTAATCCTCATTAGTCCTGCAAGGCTTAGCTCCATGTTCCCCTCCCCTATGCTGCATGCTCCTTTCCTTGCTCCTGCAGTACCCAGGTGTACCTCTGTCACTGCTGTCATAACACTTCTGATGCTATTGGCTTGTTTGCCTGTCTCCCCCAATTACAGTGTTAAGTTACCCGAGGGCAGAAACCTTGCCATGTCTGCCTGTGTGTCCCTCAGTGCTTAGTGCAGTAGCTGGCATATGGCAAGCCTCTAATTAATATGTGCTGGATGGATGGATGGATGGATGGATGGATGGATGGATGGATGGATGGATGAGCGGTGAGATGAACAGATTGCTGGCTGGCTGGATGGATGGATGGATGACAGGTGGATGGATGAGTAGATGAGATGGTTGGATAAATGAGCAGTTGGATGGACAGATGCATGGGTGGATGGATGGATGAGCAGTGAGATGGATAAGTGAGTGGATGGATGGATGGATGGATGAGCAGTGAGATGGATAAGTGAGTGGATGGATGGATGGATGGATGAGCAGTGAGATGGATAAGTGAGTGGATGGATGGATGGATGGATGGATGCATGGATGGATGAGAGGTGGATGGATGAGGAGATGGACAGGTGGATGAATAGATAGATGGTTGGGTGGATGAGCAGTGAGATGGATAGATGGGTGGGTGAGTGGATGGATGCATGGAGGGGAGAGCAGTGAGATGGATAAGTTGGTGGTTGGATGGATGGATGGATGGATGGATGGATGGATGGATGGATGGATAGGCGGATGGATGAGCAGTGAGATGGATGAGTATATAGGTGGATGAATGGATGGATAGATGGTTGGATGGATGAGCAGTGAGATGGACAGATGGTGGGTAGGTGGATAGATGGATGGATGGATGGGAGAGCAGTGAGATGGATAAATGGGTGGGTAGATGGATGGATGAATGGATGGATGGATGGATGGATGAGCAGTGAGATAGGCAGACAGATGGATAAACAAACAGAAGGACAAGGAGATAATTACTTACAGTGAAGTCTGGGTGTGAGACAGAGGTTGTGATTTGATGAGATGTAGAAACTGTGCTCTGGGCCAGCCTCTCCTCCCATCTCAGCCTCCTCTTGTCTTGATTCTCCCTCTATAGCTTTTCCTGAATCCCATAAATATGGATGGGGCTATTTTACTTATCCTGGCTATCAAGAGGAACCCCAAATCCAGGATGGAAGAGCTTGATATTTCCGTAAGTGATCAAATGGTAGTTGCTTGCGTCTGGGCACAAGCCAGTGACCCTGTCCACTCTATACTCTGTGTTGGCCAGAGCCAACAGCTCTATCCCTCACAGGCCCTCACACAAGTGCTCCATGAAAGGGTCACTTCTTTTGTTACAGCTCTGCCCTCTCCAGGGATCCTTTTAGGAAGAGTAGCTATTAGTCAGTAACATCATAGTGAGAAATAATTTACCAGATGCTAGAAACTAGGGCTATGAAAACCTGAGAGTAGAGATAAGAAAATGCCAAAAAGAAAGGCAGGAGGACTCCAAAACAGAATTCTTTAACATCAGCTTTGCAGATGAGTGGCCCTCGGTCCCTGAATGGTTCCAGAATCACAAAATTTGTAGAATCTGGGTATTAAAACACATACTTTATTTTCATTTCATGAGTTGGCCTGTTAGACTCAGAGCAGTATTTCTGGGTGAAAATCTCTTGATAAAGGAGGAAAGCCCCAGGAGGTGACTTCAGATCCTGCTGGGAACTCTTGCCTGAATCAGCACACAGGTGGCATCTGATGATAGCCTATACTTGTCTACCATTTTATACTCTGTTTTTCCCAAAGTGATTTTATATATTCCAGCTCATTTTTATCCTACTCTAGAAGGTAGGTAGAATACTGTATTAATTTCCTAAGGCTGCTGTGAAGTACCACACACTGGGTGGCTTAAACAACAGACATGTATTGTCTCACAGTTCTGGAGGCTAGAAGTCCAAGAGTAAGGTGTCAGCAGGCCTGATTCCTTCTTAGGGCTGTGAGAGAGAATCTGTTCCTGACCTCTCCCCTGGCTTCTGATGGTTCCTGTCATGCTTTGGTGTTCCTTAGCTTGTAGAAGCAACACTCCCATCTCTACCTTCTGCTTCACATGGCATTCTCCCTATCTCTGTATCCAAATGTCCCCTTGATATAAGGACACAGTCTTATTAGATTAGTACCCACCCTAAGTACCTCATTTTAACTTGACCATCTGCAAAGACCCTGTTTCCAAACAAGTTCACATTCACGGGTCCTAGGGGTTAGAACTCCAACATCTTTTTTTGGGAGGGGGCAAAATTCAACCCATAACAAGTGCTTTTCCTCATTTTCCCATTTTACATATAAGTAAACTGAAACAGAGTCTCACTCTGTTGCCCAGGCTGGAGTGCAGTAATGTGATGTCGGCTCACCTCCGCCTCCTGGGTTCAAGCAGTTCTGTGCCTCAGCCTCCAGAGTATCTGGGACTACAGGTGTGTGCCAACATGCCAGGCTAATTTTTTGTATTTTTAGTAGAGATGGGGTTTCACCATTTTGCCCAGGCTGGTCTCGAACTCCCGACCTCAAGTGATCCACCCACTTCAGCCTCCCAAAGTGCTGGGATTAGAGGTGTGAGCCACTGCACTCAGCCTCCAGTGATGGCATTTGAATATGTAAACCCAAGCTCCTTAAAACTGAATAATTAATACAATGTGGGTTTTTACTTGCCACGGATTTTGAGACATTGTCAAACATAGCTGCTTTTCTTTCCCTTTGTTCTCTCACCTGTCCTCCCTGCCGCAGGCCCTTCTTGTGCTTCCTGGCTCTTCCTTCCTTTCCCCATCCTCATGCTCCAGTTCTCAATCTGCAGGCCAGGATGCTGCCTTCACCCCTGAGTCTCCACTGCAGATTCAGACTTTGTTGGCATCTGTATTTCCCTCTCCCAGGCAGTACACGTTGGAAGGCATGGACCCAGGCACTGCCTTGGTGTGTTTGAGAGAACATTAGAAATGTTCTCTCAGGCGCGGTGACTCACGCCTGTAATCCCAGCACTTTGGGAGGCCGAGGCGGGTGGATCACCTGAGGTCAAGAGTTCGAGACCAGCCTGACCAACATGGAGAAACCCCGTCTCTACTAAAAATACAAAATTAGCCGGCCATGGTGGCGCATGCCTGTAATCATAGCTACCTGGGAGGCTGAAGCAGGAGAATCACTTGAACCTGGGAGGCAGAGGTTGTGATAAGCCAAGATTGCACCATTGCACTTCAGCCTGGGCAACAAGAATGAAACTCCATCTCAAAAAAAAAAAAAAAAAGAAACATAAAAGAAATGGTGCTGTTTAGGCCCTAGATGGCCCATAAACCCGTAAGCTGTGACCACAGTGGCACTTAATAAGCCTACCAGAACAAATAGGTCTGAATTAGCCTTTTTTTTTTTTTTTTTTTTTTTGGGTGTTGGGGATGGAGTCTCACTCTGTCGCCCAGGCTGGAGTGCAATGGCATAGTCTCGGCTCACTGCAACCTCTACCTCCCAGGTTCAAGCGATTCTCCTGCCTCAGCTTCCTGAGTAGCTGGGATTACAGGCACCCACTACCGCACCTGGCTAATTTTTTTGTATTTTTAGTAGAAACAGAGTTTCACCATGTTGGCCAGGCTGGTCTTGAATTTCCGACCTCAAGTGATACACCCACCTTGGCCTCCCAAAGTGCTGGGATTACAGGCTTGAGACATCGAGCCTGTATTAGCCTTCTCCTTCCCTTTTGTCAACAATGCCTCCATAACTCTGAACAGTATAGAAATTCCTCTTTTGTAGATGCTCCTAGAACTTTCTCTAGAATCTCTACAAAGCCTTCTGCCCTTAAACAGGGGTTTAATTCTTTGAAAGGGCAAAATGTACTCCGAGCCACATCTGAGGAATGAAGCAGGCTGACCAAACTGGTGGAGCCCAGGTTTGATCAAACACTATTTCACAGGACACATTTTCTCCCATGTCCTACAAACCAGCTCTGAGGGCACTTCCAGAAGGGGAAGTTTCCATTTTGTCCCTGGTCACTTATTGGAATCAGGGATCCTCTTCCAGGGCACTTTCTCTGACAAACAACACTCACGCAGACATGGACATTTCAGGGCTTTGTTTAAGGACTATCTTGCCACTCCAAAGCTGTAAATCATCTGTCAGATGCAGATGCCATTTGAGAGTGGAGCTGAACTGGCAGCAGGTGACAAGCCACCAGCACTCAACAAAAACATCCCATCAAAATTACCCAGGAAACTTACAAGTCAATTTACAAGCTCTAAAATACCCGAACTATCCCAGTCCAGGAGCAGCACTGAGAACAAACTGGAAGAGACAAAACTTCCTGACTTTGGCTTGGGTGGAAGGGGTAGGGTGCACTGGTTGGGCAGGCACGATGGCAGTGCCCTCATCATCATGGGTCCCCTCTCTCCCTGTCACAGAACGTGCTGGTGTCCGAGCAGTTCATGAAAACGTTGGACGGAGTGTATGCCGTTCACCCGCAGCTGGACGTGGTATTCAAGGCAGTACAAGGCCTCTCTCCCAAGAAAACCATCTTCTTGTTGACAAACCCCATGAAACTGATCCAGGTGAGCTCCTGCCTTCCTCTCAGGGCCTCCAGGGAGCCCTGGGGAAAGCTGGCCAATGGCTCCAAATCAGTTTCCAGACTTCTCCCTCCCCACAGTGTCTGTACAACCCTCTCTGATAAGGAATGTCTCAGTCCCTTGGACAGCAGACATGGAATGAATATTCTCCGTGGCTACCAGATCCCTCAGCAGTGCTTCCTGATCTCCAGAGGAAGGGAAGGGCTGAGATCTAGCTGAAGGGGGCAGGTGGACAGAATGGATTATCCCACCCGGACTCCTCCACCTGCTAGCGTATGACCAAGGGCAAGTTACTAAAGCTCTCTGGGTCACAGTCTCTTCACCTGCAGAATGGACACAACAGTAGCCACCCAGTAGGATTGCTTGGAAAATCAAATTATGTCAAATGCATGAAGTGCTTAGAAGGATGCCTGGTATAGAACAAGCACCTGCTTATTATAGACATAGTTTCTTTCCAACTGCTGGTAAGGATATCAAGACATCCCTGCGGTCAGGATGGCTATTTGGCAGCTCCAGCCAAAGAGAGACACTTCAGTCCTTTGTTTCTAATGGTAACTTGCCCCCGACTCATGTTTTCTTAGATTATCTCTGGCAATCACAGGAGGCAGAGGTAAAGCTGTTCTTTCCAACAGCTGGTAAGGATGTCAAGACATCCTTGTGGTCAGGATGGCTATTTGGCGGGTTCAGCCAAAGAGAAACACTCGAGTCCTTTGTTTCTAATGATAACTTGCCCCCAACTCATCTTTTCTTAGATTAGCTCTGGCAATCACAGGAGGCAGATGTAACAGTGGAAATACAAAATCAGAGAATAGTAGCGCCGAAAGGGATGTTATTGCTCCTCTAGTCCCATTGTCTTGCAGAACAGTGCTCAGACCCTGCTTTGGTGTTTCCACAGCGGGCCTCTCACCCTGCAGTGGGGGCAAGGAGCCTGCTGCTGGCCGCAGAGCGGTTACTACCTGGGGAGCAGGCGTGGGGATGCTGCTCTGCCAATGCACGTTCTGCAGGGTGTGTCCCCGGGCTGCTTCCTGCCCCCAGTGGGTCTGCTCTGTGCCTCAGTTTCTAGAACTAAATAAAAGAGCTCCCACATGAAAATTGTTATGTGAAAAATTCTAGAAGACAAAGCGGTGTCCAGTATTTGTACAGGTAAGATGACTTCAGATGGAACCAAGGCAAACCTGTTTTGCAAGGGGAGCAGGGTGCTCCAGTGAACAGGAATGGAGCTGTCTGATGCAAAGTGGGGACCCCACCTCTTGTTTTAAAGACACACAGAAAAAGAATCTTGGAGACCAAACATGCAGAGTCCAACATAGCCCTTCCCCTCAGGGGATCAACAATCTCATTGGAAAGATGGGATGGCTACAGTGACGACCCACAGAACATAGAAAGTTTCATATGGCCAGGCACGGTGGCTATGCCTGTAATCCCAGCAATTCGGGAGGCCAAAGCGGGTGGATCACTTGAGGTCAGAAGTTTGAGACCAGCCTGGCCAACATGGCAAAACCCCATCTCTTCTAAAAATACAAAAATTAGCCGAGCGTGGTGGCAGATGCCTATAATCCCAGCTACTTGGGAAACTGAGGCACAAGAATCGCTCGACGCTTGAACCCAGGAGGCGGAGGCTGCAGCGAGCTGAGATTATGCCACTGCACTCCAGCCTGGGCAACAGAGCGAGACTCTGTCTCAAAAAAAAAAAAAGTGTCATGTGATAAATAATAAATAAGTGACAGAGGCAGAAAATGTAGTCAGAATCCAAATAAGAGATCAACGTAGGATTCGGCAACCAGAAAAGGATGACTTCTTGGAAGAGATGGGAGTGGGTAAGGGCCTTGAAGAATGTCAAAGATTGAGGTGAGCCACAGAGAGTGGGAGGGTGTTCCGGCGAGAGGCTCCTGCCAGCAAAGGTGCTGAGGTGGAACCGCACACAGCATGTTCAGGGGACACTAACACATGACTCCAGGTTCATAGAGGAGCCCAAGAGGCAAAGCTGGCAAGGGAGGCTGGGCTGCAAGTGGCAGCCCTCAGATTTTAGGCTCTGAGTTCGAGTTTGATTCCATCGGGAACAGGGGGCCGGTGAGAGCTGCTGGGCAGTGGATGTGATGCGAATCCAGCAGGATTGAGGAGTTCTGGCAATGGGGAGTGAATTGAAGAGGGTAAGAAAAAAGAGTAGGAAACCAAACAAGCACACTATTGTAGCACTCTAGATGTGGAATGATGGCTTGGCTGAGAATAACAATGGAATTGAAGGGCAGATGTAAGAGCTATCATTATGGAAACATCTCTAGGACTTGGCGAATGGTTGGATATGTGGGGGTGTGTATTGCATGCATGTGAGTGTGTGTGTGTGTGTGTGTGTGTGTGTGTTGGGATAGGAAGGCCTGTGATGATAAAAGAAACCCAAAGATAACCCAAGATTTCAAGGCCAAGGGACTGAAGGAAAGATTGCCAGAGGCAGGGAAGTGCAGATGGGGAAAGTGCCTGCCACCTGGCCCTTACTGTCTCTCCACGTTCTAGCCCCACTGGATTGCTTCCGGATCCTCTTTGCATCAGCTCTCCCTTCACTGCAGGCCTGTGTACGGTCAGGGCAGGTCCTTCCACCTGGAACACTTTTCTTCTTGCCCTCTGGGTCTCGCTCATTCCTACCCGTTCTCAGGTCTCTACACAATGTCACTTCCTGGGGAAACCCTTCTTGGATTCCCTGGTCAAGAGCGAACGCCCTTCGTGTTCCCGAAGCCCTTGGCTTCACCCTTGCATTGCAACCTGTGAACTCCTCCAGGGCAGGGCTGTGTGGGGTCTTAGTAGTAGCACCTACCAAAGTAGCTGGGCAAGGTTCTTAGTTGCTGGCCACAGAATTTACTCCAACTAGGCTAAGCACACGGGGGTTTATTACAGGAGAGAGATCAAAGAAATGTCAGGAGGGCTGAACAAACAGACTCTTGTTAGATTCCAGAAATGGCTCTCAAAGCACCCCAACTGAGTTGCCAAGAGTTGCTGCTTCTGCTATAATCAAGAAGCTGCATGATTGCGGAATGCCCCGCTCAGTCATGAAGCAACCACAGCCGCTGCCCACCACCTGCCTCTCTCAAATCAGACACAAGCCTCACACTTACATCTCAGGCAGGTGCTTGGCAAAGGCCATCCATTCTGACCCCCAGCTGCAAGGGGACTTGGGGAATGTCGCTTTCAGCTTTCCAGGCTCTGCATGGATGAGAAGCCTGCTGTGAAGAAACAGCAGTGGGTGCCGAGGGCTCACCCATGGCATCTGCCATAGCGCTCAGCAGCAGTGTGCTGCTTCAGAGCACGAGGTGCACTTTGGATGTGTTGATTGAAGTGCCGGTGGGGTGTCCAGCAGCTGTGGAGGATGGAGAACTGGAAATGTAGCTTTGGGAGGCACTCCGGAAGGGTGGGAGGCCGTGCACTCCAGAAAGGGAAGTGTGGGGAACAAAGAGCAAGGGCCCCAGGGCTGAACCCTGAGGAAATGCTTCGTGAGAAGGACGTTGCCAGAAATAGCTATCGATACAGTAGGACGCTGTCTGGGAGTTTCTGAGAGTGAGAGGAAGGGGGGGGGGGGGTGGCGGGGGGAAGGGGGGTGGCGGGGGAGAAGAGAAAAAAAGTACTTAAAAAGGACCCAAAAGAATACTGTAATATCGTAAGGCCGGGTGCGGGGAAGAGAAAAAAAAATACTTAAAAAGGACCAAAAAGAATATTGTAATATTGTAAGGCCGGATGCAGTAGCTCATGCCTGTAATCCCAGCACTTTGGGAGGCTGGGGTGGAAGGATCACTTGAGGTCAGAAGTTCAAGACCAGCCTGACCAACATGGTGAAACCCCATCTCTACTAAAAATACAAAAATAGGCTGTGCATGATGGCGCATGCCTGTAATCCCAGCTACCCGGGAGGCTGAGGCAGGAGAATTGCTTGAACCTGGGAGGCAGAGGTTGCAGTGAGCCGAGATCGAGCCACTGAACTCTAGCCTAGGCGACAGAGCGAGACTCTGTTTCAAAATAAAAAAAAAGAGAGGAAAAGAATATTATAATGACATTGAAAAGGTGTTCATATGTGAACAGTGGGTTCTGTAAAACAATAGGTTTAGTAGAAAGATGAGAGATTAGATAGATAAATGTTATACAGATAGATAGAAGTTAGACAGATTGATGTCAGATAGATAGTTAAAAAGATAAAAGGGTCCACACCAAGATGTTACCTCTGTGTGGTGGTATTGGATTTATGGGTGATTTTTAAAATTTTCTCCTGCTAATCTAAAATTGCCTTGCAACGTGAGTAATAATACACTTGATCCTTGAACAACACAGGTTTGAACTGTGCCATTTCATCCACTTTTATGTATTTGGATTTTTTTCAATAAATACAGTCAGCCCTTCGTACCTGTGGGTTCTGCATATGCAAATGTGGATCCAAAATACAGTATTTGAGGAATGAGAAACCCACGGATATGGAGGGCCTGCCTTTTCATATTGGTGGATTTTGGTATCTGAGGGGGTCCTGGAACCAATCCCTTGCACATATCAAGGGATGACTATATTTTTTAAATGAAAAAAATGAAATATCCTTTTAAAAATATTCTAACAAAGTATGTTTCCATATGAGCATTGAGGTGAAACTGTGAGAATCCTAGGAATTCGTAGAGCCAAACTGTCACATTATACAGCTGTGATTTAACCTTTTGATCTCTGAACATCCGCGCGCCATCCACAGCACACCATCTATACCAGTGTTAACAGATTGCGTTTGTAGATAATGATCACTGTCCCATCCTCGTGGCACTGCGGTGCCTGAACAGCCTTGACTTCAGTCCTTCCAACTTTGGAATGGAGGGAGCGTCTGTGCAGTGCCAAGGGGCTCCTAGAAGCATGGCGAGCACACAGGAATCATCCCGGCATGCACCTTTGCCATGCCTGGTGGGTCTGCACTCGGCTCTTGGTCTTAGGGGACACCCAACACCCGGGAGACGCAGGCTCCTCACCTTGGCCTTCTGCCCTTTTTAGCCTTGTTAGGCCTGGAAGCATGGGCCGCTCTTTTGTGGGAGGGAAGGGGGACCTGCGATCGTTGTTACAAGACCAAGTGTTTGCTCCTGGTCTCTCCTGCTTCTCTCAGAGCTATGCAGACCAACACAAAATCACGATCGTGGACTTCTTCAAGAGCTTGAACCCCACTGGGACAATGAAGATGTCTGTGGATGAGTTCCAGAAAGTGATGATAGAGGTGTGCTGGGTCCTAGTGGCAACAGGCTGTGTGTGAGTGTGAGTGTGAGTTTGTGTGTCAGAGAGAGGGGAGAGGAGGAGAAGGAGCAAAAGAGCTTGTGAGCACTTCCTAGAGCTTCCTGGGACAGGCTATGGGACACTCCCCTCATTTATCTAGACCCAGAGGGGAACCTAAGACCTCCCTCAACCCCTGCTGAAGTCATTCCTGTGCTGTGGCTTGATGCCACCAGTGACCCGAGATGCCACTCAGAGACACATGTTCTATCTTGAGGTTTTTCTCCCCATTGCATTTCACTACTGGGCAGATAACAAAGGGAGTGAGAGAGGAGACCACATCCCAAAGTCCCAACATTTCCACCTTAGGAATCATTTTCCTGAAATCTCACATTCCTCTCGCTCCCCATGTAATAAAGGTACTGAAAGCCCCCTGTAATGCATACTTGAAGGGGTCTATCATCAGAGCGTCCCAGGAGAGACTTGGGCCCTGCAGGAATAGGACTCCAGAGGAGAAGTTCCCGGGGCCCAGGCAGGGACGGATAAGGCAGTCGGTGCCCGGTGCCCAGGCCGGGGGTGAAGAGGCTGGCCAGGACTCAGCAGCAGGAAGTGAGAATGAACTTCACAGGATGCAAAGGAGAGTCCTGTTCCCTCCCCCGGTCACTCGCTCCACCTGACTCTGATCTCCTCCTGCCTTATTGCCCCCAAAAAGGGGAGGCCCTTTGGAGTCTGGACAATGACCCATGGGCAGGGAGCTTTTTCCAGCCCCTCCATGCTGTGGAATCAGTTTCCCCTGAGCTCTCAATCAGATGCCCTCCATGGTCCCAAGAGTGAGGCATTGTGTGGGGTGTGTGTGTTGGGGGGGGTGGTAGGTGTGTGGGGTGTGTGTGTGTGTGTGTGTGTGTGTTGGGGGGGTGGGGTGTGTGTGTGGTAGTGTGGGGGGGTGTGTGTTGGGGGTGGGGTGTGTGTGTGCATGTGGTAGTGTGTGGGGTGTGTGGGTGTGTTGGGGGGTGGGGTGTGTGTGTGTGGGGGGTGTGTGTTGGGGGGATGGGGTGTGTGTGTGGTAGTGTGGGGGGGTGTGTGTGTTGGGGGTGGGGTGTGTGGTAGTGTGTGTGGGGGAGTGTGTGTGTTGGGGGGTGGGGTGTGTGTGTGTGTGGTAGTGTGTGTGGGGGTGTGTGTTGGGGGGGTGGGGTGTGTGTGTTGGGGGGGTAGTGTGTTTGGGGGGGTGTGCCTAGGGAGGGGTGAACAGAGTTCTATTAACTGCACATGTTCCATCCACCTCCTCAGCAAAACAAGGTCCCCCTGAACCAGTACCAGGTCAGGGAGGTGATAAAGAAGCTCGATGAGAAGACAGGCATGGTGAACTTCAGGTCAGCCCAGGCCCCGCGACGATCCCCGTTCTCTGCAAGGGGCCCTGGCTGGGCTGATGTGAGCTCCTCCAGCTTTCCTGTCTACACTTTATTACTTGAGGCTTCACCCACCTGCCTGTTCCCTGCATGCCAAGTCTGGGCCCCACTGTCTACCCCCCTTCTCATCCCCAATTCACTTGTTCAGCGAAACTTGAGCCCAATCAGGCGCTGCTGGCTGCTGGGCCGGATGCTGGGGATGCCAGCGGGAGGAGCCGGAGCCCACACTCACAGCCCAGGAGGAGGGCAGGCAAGGGAGCAGATCTTTATGCCCTGGTGAGGTGAGAGGAGCCGTAGGGGTGTGTACCAGGCGCCCTTGCAGCCCAAAGAGGAAGTGTCGCTCAGGCGGGAGGCGGCAATGTTTCAGCCGAGTCTGGCAAGACGGAGACCTAGACAGAGGGCGGAGGCACACAAGCACCAAATGCTAACGGTGTGTTAGGGACTACAGGTCCCGCTACTCTGCCATGGCTTGGCAAGTGAGGGATGCTGTATCTTAGACTGAACTCCTTGAAGAGAGAGGACCGGTCCATGATGACGGTGATGCCAGTAAGCAACCCATAATAAGTCCCCGCCACATGCCTGTCCTCTCCACTTGCCCAATAGGCACGCTCTGCAGCCTCACGGTGCCCCATGGCAATGCTGCCATCACCCCACTTAGCAAGTGATGAAACAGAGCTCTAGAGAAGTGCAGCAAAGAAGCCAAGTTCACCGGGTGCAGTAGCCCATGCCTATAATCCCAGCACTTTGGGAGGCTGAAACAGGAGGATCACTTGAGCCCAGGAGGTCGAGACAAGCCTGGGCAAGATAGCAAGACCCCCGTCTCTACTAAAAACCAAAAAAACACATTAGCTGAACATGGCAGTGCATGCTTGAAGTCCCAGCTACTTGGGAGGCTGAAGTGGGGTGATTACTTGAGCTCAGGAGGCAGAGGCTACAGCCAGCCGAGATTGCATCACTGCACTTCAGCCTGGACGACAAAGTGAGACCCTGTCTCAAAAATAAAAAAGAAAAGAAAAGCAGCCAAATTCTCGCAGCTGGGAAGGGCAACTCTGGCCGAGACTCCAGGCCTGAGGGGTCCACACCTGTTCTGTCTCTCACTGCGTTAGACCTCCCAGCCCAGACGAAGGACACAGTTGCCCCTGCCAAGCCTGGGTCTGCAGCTGAGCTCCCATCTGTCTTGGTGGCCCTGTGGCTGGCCTGTGTTCTTAAGAGCTTCTGTGGAGCAAGGCCTCCCATCCGGCCCTGCCCCACGAGCCTTCTCCCAGTACCTCTTTCCTTCGCTCCACTCAGCGTCGTCCACGTGGAGAAACCGCGATGCAGACAAGAAAGGCAGCCAGACCCAGCTGCAAGCCCTGCTCTGCGGAACAAGGCTGCGGCTGTGCGCGGATCTCCTCTCCCTTTAAAATGAGGAGATAACCGCGGCACCTGGGAGGGGGCTGCAAGGAGTGAGTGGGGGAAATGCACACAGCGGCTGGCACAGGGGGCGTCACTCGGTAGGGACACTGGCATCCAGCAAGAGGGCGCCAAAGGTGGCTCAGGCCCGCCCTGCTACCACCGGGCCTCCCACTCCTGTGCTGCTCAGCGGCCTGTCCCTGTGCCTCCTCACCTGCCCCGTGCCTCCTCACCTGCCCCGTGCCTCCTCACCTGCCCCGTGCCTCCTCACCTGCCCCGTACCTAAAGTGGCACCTCTTGTTCCTGGGGAAGCTGATGGCAAGTGCCCATCTCAGAGGCTCCAGACCAGGTTCCACGTCCAGCAAAGTCCCCAGGTTTGCAGGCAAGGTCACATGGCCATCGAGAGACAGAACTGGGGTCTGGGTCCCTGAGTCTCAGCGCCTGAGCAGGAGCCCTTGGGGCCACTTCAAATTGCCCTTCAGATCACACACTGCCGCTTTATCAGCTGTGATTGAAGAGCAGAGTTTTAATTTTTATTGTTGCATGATCCTTTTCATTTTTGTTTTATGTTACAAATAATATCTCATTGTAAAAATTCTAAACCCGGCTGGGCGCGGTGCTCACGCCTGTAATCCCAGCACTTTGGGAGGCCGAGGCTGGTGGAGCACGAGGTCAGGAGTTCAAGACCAGCCTGGCCAAGATGGTGAAACCCCCACCTCTATTAAAAACACAAAACTTAGTGAAAATTAGCCAGGTGTGGTGGCAGGCGCCTGTAATCCCAGCTACTTGGGAGGCTGAGGCAGGAGAATTGCTTGAACCTGGAAGGCAGAGGTTGCAGTGAGCTGAGATCGCACCATTGCACTACAGCCTGGGTGACAGAGTAAGACTCCATCTAAAAAAAAAAAAAAAGAAAAGAAAAAAAATTCTAAACCCACAGAAGTATAGCAAGGAAAAAAAATGAAGGTCCATTTTTATCTCCCTCCATAGTTTACTCTGCCTCCCCAAAGGGCTCTTGCAAACGATCTTAGGTGCACATGTGCATGCCTTTCCCACATACTTATAAGTGTGTGTGTGTGCACACGCACACACATGCACACATGTGTAGTGGGGGAGATATAATGGTTAACAGCATGACCTCTAAGGCCAGAGATGGGTTTACAAATGGTCTCCTTTGGATTTAAGCCTGTCTTAACATTCTCACCCATCAGCCATGAGGCTGTACGGGTGCTCAGCATCTTTCCCTTACCTTTCGTACCAGTTTCTTGAACACGATGAAGCCATAGCAACAAGTCTGGTCTAGAAAGAAGTCTCGGCGAGAGGAGTCCTCGCAAGTCGGATGGTGGCAGGGAGGAGAGCAAGAGGTGGCTGAAATCTCGATGGACAGATGCTGTGGCAGGGGCTGGGCACAAGCAAATAAAGTCTGGCTTGGTTCTGGGTGTCTTGGGCTGCTGGTGGTGTGCCCGTCACCAGGGGGCCACCTTCTGCTTTTAGTGACCACCAGGGGACATGTCAATGCAGCCTCATTAAGAGCTGCACAGACAAATTGGGAACGTGATGGGGTTGCTAGGCAGCAGGGAAAGAGCCTCAGGGAGCAGGTCAGAGCATGAGGGCAGTTGTCACAGTGATTAGAACCTGAGTCCAGGGGAGACTTCCTTGGTGGGAGGCAGTGACAGGGGGAACAGATGCTGAGGGAATGAGGGCAGGGGCCTTTAAAAAGCAAAGAAATGCTGTGGGGTCACAAGGAGGGAGCCAGGACAGGAGACCAAGAGAGTGGGCATCTCATCCTGGCCACATGACCTTGGATCCCCAGTGGCTCCCCTTGAAAATGGAGCAGCTGAAATAAAGCCTTCCCAGTCCGGTCTAGGAGTCTATCATTCTGCATTTCACCTTTAAATTCCTTGAGAAACTGGGGAGACAGGAACAGCTTAGCGAAGGAATAAAAGGAATAGCCAAGAACAGCATTCACTGATTAAGTGGGTGGAACAGGCACCTTTGGGAGTTTTGATTGATCTTACCAGACACCATTGTAGATTAGCAAGGCAGGAACTTTCTTGTGCCCCTCTGCAGCCCCATGTAGTGCTTGGCACATAGTAGATGCTCAATAAACACCTGTGAAATGAACGAGCACATTCACCGGTGATTGTTTGGGGTAAGTGGTGGAAAGTTGGGAAAGTTTAGGGGGCGAGGGAAGGCTGATATTTGGTAACCCACGCTTTGGCGCAGCAGCGAAGGGTCTAGGAACCAAGTCACTATCTCTTGTGTTTCACTTGGCTTCACCAAGGGTGGAGGTGAACACCAAGACCCCTCTGCACATGCAGCGGAATTATTGGAAATAATTTATGTCCCCACTCATGTGCCGTATTCCCCCCCTTTCTCTTCCTTATTAAAATCTTAGCCTTTATGAGGTTTAGGGCCAGGATAGAAGTTTCTAGCAAGACTCATCCCTCCCTAGTACACATTTCCCCCAGCCTAAGCTCACTGGTGAAAACAGAACTGAGGAGAAGAGTGAGAAGGGTGGGTTACAGCAGCCCTCAGAGGAGCTTCCCCAGCACTGCCGGGAGGAGAGGGAGGTCTTCAAGTCCGGCAGGACCTCAGAACAAGTAGCTGAGCTGTGCCCTGGAGGCTGACTCTTGGTCTGGGCTCCCAGCCTGGCAGAGCTCCCCTGCCCCAAACATAGCATGAGGGCATCAGAGCAGCAGCTCTGTAGGGACCCCCTGGGTTGGGACCAATGACCCCCAGCAATAATCAGTGTGGACTGGTGAGCAATAGGTAGAGGGCCTCTCGGGACAAGTGGGCACCACAGAGCCTCAGTGGCACCACCCTGAGCATGTTCCTGAAATGGAATTTCCATCAACGGGGTGGATTAGGGGCTCAGAGTCAAAATGAGGATGATAAAAGGAATATAAAGAAATGCAAAGGCCAGACGCAGTGGCTCATGCCTGAAATCCAGCACTTTGGGAGGCCAAGGCAGGCTGATCACCTCAGGTCAGGAGTTCGAGACCAGCCTGGCCAACATGGTGAAACCCCATCTCTACTAAAAATACAAAAATTAGCCAGGCATGGTGGCAGGTGCCTGTAATCTCATCTACTCAAGAGGCTGAGGCAGGAGAATTGCTTGAACCTGGGAGGCAGAGGTTGCAGTGAGCTGAGATCACGCCATCGCACTCCAGCCTGGGTGACAAGAGCAAAACTCCATCTCAAAAAAAAAAAAAAAAAACAAAAAACAAAGAAAAGAAAAGAAAACGAAATGCAATAAGGAGTCTATGGGCTGAAACATCTACCATAACATCGGGTGCTCTGTAGACATCTGCTCTATCTCCCCGAATAAAGTGAAGTCCTTGTCGTCTGGGATCATGTCTTTTTTTTTTTTTTTTTTTTTTTTTTTTTTTTTGAGAAAGAGTCTCACTCTGTCACCCAGGCTGGAGTGCAGTGGCGTGAACACAGCTAACTACAATCTCTGCCTTCCAGATTCAAGCAATTCTCATGCCTCATCCTCCCGAGTAGTTGGGATTACAGGCTTGCACCACCATGAGCAGCTAATTTTTTGTATTTTTAGTGGAGACAGGGTTTCCCCATGTTGGTCAGGTTGGTCTTGAACTCCTGACCTCAAGTGATCTGTCTGCCTTGGCCTCCCAAAGTGCTGGGATTACAGGCGTGAGCTGCCGTGCCTGGATGGGATCATGTCTTTTAAATCTCTTATAATCCATAAAATTCTCCAAGTTCCCTGCCTGTAACTGAGTGCCCAGGTGCAACCCTGAGGGTTATGTGTGGGCAAGAAGGAGAGGCTATGAAGTAGCAAAATGTGTGATGGACAAGTTATAAATTTGTAATGCTTATGGATCAATAAAAACACATTTTTTCAAGATAATTTTGTTCTCATCTTTTGCATAAAATGGAAAAGGCAGCAGTTGTTCTTATCAAATCTTATTTTTGTTTGGGTGGCTTTGGCGAAATGATGGAGATTACAGGGAAGTTAAAATCTCCCCCACACCCCACCCCAACCCTCCAGGCCACCCCTTGACACTCAAGTAAGAGATGGGTGGCCAAGCCCATCTGCCTCAGCGGCCCTGGGAGCCTCCAAAGGTGGAGTAATTCCCACTTGTGGCCGCTAGGTGTCAGGTCAGCTCCAAAAGTCATCCGGAGAATTGTGCTTTGCCTTCTCCTAAACTTGGGGTCTTAGCAAGTTTCTCTGATCTCCCAAACTTCTGCCCCTGAGGAACGCCAACTTGGAATCTGAGCCTCGAAAGGTCCAGCAGCCCAACCCCTGGGCAGACCTCTCCAAGGCTCCGTGTCCTCATTGTGACCATCTTGCACCCTTGTGAGGAAGAAAATCAGGCACCCAGGAAGAGCTCCATGAATATTTATTCATCTTCTCCAGTCAGCCCGCCCTGAAGCTGGGCAGACCGCAGAGAGGAGTCCTGCTCCATGAGGACAGGACTGCACAAGCGCTTTGTCAGTTTGGCAGGTCAGGAGGCTGGCAGGCAGGAGGACCCCAGCAGCAGCTGCAGCTTTCCCATGGAGGACGAGGCAGAGGTAGAGGGGCCTTGCAGGAGCAGGAGGGGCGTCAAGGTCAAAGATGGCTCAGAGGCGCTGGCCCAGCCTTCAGAGGTGGTCAGGCTGCAACCCAGAGAGACGGCACCCTGTGCTTGCTGTCCTTCCATACCCGACTCAATGCGGCTTCATGCACTCACTCCTAGCATCCTTACAGTGATTCTGCATAGTGAGCACTGTAGAATCCCCATTTTGCAGCCAGGGAAACGGGGGCGGAGGGGGGCGTGTGGAGAATTTAAGCATTTTGCCCAAGGTGCCCCAGCCAGTAAGTAGCAACGCCAAGATCCAGGCCCTGGCAATACAGCTGTGGCTCCCTGAGGGCTTAGCCACGTTGCCTCCCCGCCCCTCTGCCAGGCTGGACTGGCTAACGGAAGGCGGCGAAGGCTGAGATGGTGCTCTGTGTGGCCAAATTCTCAAGGGCAAGTTGATGCCCTCTCCCCACCAGCTGCATGGCTCAGAAATTGTGCTGGGAGCAGGTGGGAGAAGCGGAGTGTGGATATCTGTGTACTAGAACTATGAAGGGATTAAGCCTGCGAATTCTGGCATTTGACACTCCTGGGTTTGAATTCTGTTTGGCTTCACCAATTACCATCTCTGACTCTGAGCAATTCATTTATCCTCTCTGAATCTCAGTTTGCTCATCTGTAAACAGGAATGTTAGTGGTACCACCTCCTCTATAGGGTGTGTCCTCTGTGGCTGGAGCAGATGGAAAGAAGGAAAGCATGGTGGAAGTGAGTTCAGAGGGAATGTGTTCAGGTCAGGTGGGGGCTTGAAGGCCATCAGAGAACATGGCTGTGAAGATTTAATGAAATCACACACATGAAACACCAAGCCCAAGGCCTGGCATACAGTAAGTGCCTAATATAAGCATGCCCTCCTTACAGTGGTGTTCCACTCCTGAGAGGGAGAGGTATGGGGAGCTGGAGGACCAGCAGAGCACAGGAGGGACCAAACTGAACAGCTATCTTTGAAACACCCAACTAATAGGTGTTGGAAATACCATGGGGGGTGTTCCAATCTCAGGCCATGGCTTCAGGCTGGCATTAAAACAGAAGAATTTGTCCATGGTCTTGGAGGGTGGGGTGGGAAGACCAGGGGCCAGCAGCACTGGGGGGTGTGGTGTGGGCAGCGCAGTATCATAGGCCTGAAAGAACAGGAGACAGAGAGACATCCGGCATTTTTTTTTTTTTTTTGGCTTCCCACCTGGGCTGAAAAATGCCCTACCTTACAAGTGTTGGGGAAGGCAGCTGGGACATAGGATTATGCCTACCCAGATAGCCACTCCAAATACAGGAGCTGGCACCAAAGAACCAAGGGCTACAGAGAATTCCCTGTGGTAGCTGCAACGTTGAAGTTCAGTGGAGTTCCCGGGGCAGCAGTGGTAACGGTGCAGGGTGTCATTCATGGTCCCGGGCCTGCAGGTTCACGATGCAAACTGCAGCCTCTGGTGTCTGACTATGGTGGCAGCTGTGGTGTCCTCAGGCGACCAGGCCTGCCTTGCCAAGTGGGGGCTTGGGATTTGTTTTGTTTTGTTTTAAACAAAAGAACACAATGACTGGCAAGGCCAGCCTGTGCCCTAAACACGAACTCCTGCCCAGTGGCCTTGAACCATTCTTCAAGAAGCAGGTGTCCTGGAGGGGAGGGAACCCAAGGGCAGCTGGGGTGAGGCTGCCCCAGGCCCGGGAGCTCCTTTTATGGAAGGTCATCCAGGGAACCCTCAGAGGGCTTTGGCTTGTGTTGCCACCACCCTAGGCAGTCTGTGGATGAAACAGAGTGACTGGCTAAATGCTGTGGGGTCCAGGCTACCTGAGACATGATTTGTGCTTGTGTGGATGTGTTATTTGATGATAAAGAATATAGTTGGTCTTCTTCCCGGTTCTTGGCACAGAGCTTCAAAACCCTTGTAATTTCCTGAGAGATGAAAATCTTTGTTATGCTAAAGAGGTGGCTCAGGGTGGACCCCTAGATCACTTTAGGCAGGTGCTGGTCACCAGAAAGACCACCCACAGGATTAGAGGTTGGTACTTTTGGCCAATAGACTTCCAGGAAGGAGAGAGGGGGCTGGAGATTGAGTTTAGTCATGTGGCCAGTGTTCACTCAAGCAAGCCTAGGCAATGAAACCCCAGTAAATACTCTGCACACTGAGGCTCTGCAGAACTCCCTGGTTGGTGAACACATTGAGATGCCAGAGGCTGGCGATCCCTGATTCCATGGGAAGAGAACATGGAAGCTCTGTGCTCCCTCCCAGACCTTGCCCTCTGTCACTGTTCGTGTGCCTGTTCCCGAGCTGTATCTTTGTAATAAAGCTGTGATTTTATAAGCACAGTATCGTGCTTTCAGTGAGCTTTGAGTCATTCCAGCAAATTATCAAAACTGGGGAAGCAGTGGGGATGCTCAAATTTGTAGCTGGCTGGTCAGAAGTGCAGGTGGTCTGGGTGCCCAACTTGCAGCTGGTACTGAAACAGAGGCAGTTTTGTGGAGGACTGAGCCCGAAAACTAAAGTCTGCTGCCAACCCTAGGGGGGTTAGTGTCAGAACTGAATTGCGGTTACTCCTGTTGGTATTCCTCCAGGTGGGATGGAAATGGAGCACATGTACACAGCAGCATACTCGCATTTGAATTTCAGAGATGAGGTGTGTGTGCTCCAATGTGCCCATGCCCCAAAAGAGGGGCTTGTCTGTGAGCTAAGTCCAAGCCCCTCCTGCTTTCTGACCTGTGTCTAACAACCCTGATTCAGTGCAGCCACTCCCGGCTGTACCTCTGCTTTCCCAGCAGAGGGTGCTCCAACCCCACAAGTACCCCATCTCCATAGCCTTTCCCAGCTCCCTAAGGCTCAGTTGAGATGCACAGAAGAAAATAGGACCCCACACTGGCTCAGGGAAATCAAATTCTTATTAGGTGCCCTCAGAAAAGCAGCAATGCAGCCAGCTTCAGTGACACAGATTGCACCAGGGGAGCCTGGGCCATAGCCTTCAGCCTCCCTGCGACGTCCAGGTTCTGTGGGAGCTGAGCTTATACAATTTAGGGGCCCTCTTTAAAAAAAAAATACAGCCAGGTGCGGTGACTCACGCCTGTAATCCCAGCACTTTGGAAGGCAGAGGCGGGTGGATCACCTGAGGTCAGGAGTTCTAGACCAGGCTGGCCAACATGGTGAAACCGTGTCTCTACTAAAAATACAAAAATTAGCCAGGCATGGTGGCAGGCACCTGTAATCCCAGCTATTCAGGGTTGGGGGGCAGGAGGCACCGAGGCAGGAGAATCACTTGAACCCGGGAGGCAGAGGTTGCAGTGAGCTGAGATGGCACCATTGCACTCCAGCCTGGGGGACAAGAATGAGACTTTGTCTCAAAAAAAAAGAAAAAAATACAAATTCACAAATACAATGTTAGGGATAGAAAGTGGATGTTTAGAATGAGGGGGAAGAATCACAACAAATGACACATTTTCTTAAAGCTGACAAGACCATAAGCATCAAATCCCCCCAGGGCCTTGGAAGGGGCCTCACTGCAGTGCAGGTCCCTGCAGCTTGAGTTTTTTTAGCTTCTCAGCAACTCTGGCCCACCTGCCACATCTAGTAGCTGCAGGAAGGGAAGTCCAGGCAAGCAACCAGACACCTTCTGAATACAACTACAACCTTGCGAGTAGCTTGTCTATTTCTCCACGCCTCTCTCTTCTTCCCTGTCCTTGGAGCAGCCAGCTGTGGTCACATAATAAACGTGGGTGAGATGCTATCCCTTCCTTCCCTCTCTGTCAAACCCAGGAGGCTGCCACCCACCCCCTCTGATTTTGAGGAGTGTGAGGCAGTTCTTTGGGCTTCTCTCTCCTTGAGTCCTTGCCCCACAGTGGGTCTTCAGTCTACTAAGTGTTATTTCAAGACTGTAGGCCGGGCGTGGTGCCTCATGCTTAGTAATCCCAGCACTTTGGGAGGCCAACGCGGGCGGATCACGTCAGGAGATCGAGACCACCATGAAACCTCGTCTCTACTAAAAATACAAAAAATTAGCCGGGCATGGTGGCGGGCGCCTGTAGTCCCAACTACTCGGAGAGGCTGAGGCAGGAGAATGGCGTGAACCTGGGAGGCAGAGCTTGCAGGGAGCCGAGATCGTGCCACTGCACTCCAGCCTGGGCGACACAGCAAGACTCTGTCTCAAAAAAAAAAAAAAGAAAAAGAAAAAAAAGACTGTAAAACCCACAGCCCCAAAATGCCTTTCCCAAGTGCACTGTGATGCAAGAAATAACCCCTTCTAGAAATTAGTAGGGAAAAAACAGAAGGCAAATTATCTGGGGTAAAGGGGGAGAATGCACATTTATTTATACCAAAGTGTAAATGACTTCACTGACATTCAGTAAATACTTATTAAGGGCTCTCTGTGTGTCCTGTGCTGTGTGGGTGTTTGGGATACATCAGTGAATAAAAAAAGACAAAACCTGTCTCTCATGTGAAGTTTGCATTCTAGCAAGAGAAGACTGACCAATAATGTAAGAAATAAGTGAATCATACAGTATATTAGAAGTGCTATGGGGAAAAATAGAGCCAGGAGGCTGGCAGGCTTGCAGGCCTTGTGGGAAGCCACGCGGCATCTGGGGGAAGCACTTAAGAGGGCACAGCTGAAGAAAAGTCTCCATGCAGGAGCCCTTTGGTGTGTCCCTTGTGGCCAGAGCAGATGGAGGGAAGGAGAGCAAGCGTGGTACAAGCAAGTTCAGAGGGAACATGGCCAGGTCAGGTGGGGCCTTGAGGGCCATCAGGGAACGTGGGTGTCTAAAGGAGACGGCTCTGCAGGGTGAGGGCAGAGTCATAGCATACTCCAAGACCTTTTTAAAATGATAGTGTGGGTCAGGCACAGTGGCTCACACCTGTAATCCCAGCGCTTTGGGAGGCTGAGGCAGGTGGGTCACTTGAGGTCAGGAGTTCGAGGCCAGCCTGGCCAACATGGCGAAACCCCATCTCTACAAAAATACAAAAATTAGCTGGGTGTGGTGGCGGGCACCTGTAATCCCAGCTACTCAGGAGGCTGAAGGAGGAGAATTGCTTGAACCTGGGAGATGGAGGTTGCAGTGAGCTGAGATCACACCACTGCACTCCAGCCTGGGTGACAGAGCAAAACTCTGTCCTTTAAAAAAAAAAAAAAAAAAAAAAAAGTTACTGTGGGCCAGACACAGTGGTTCATGCCTGTAATCCTAGCACTTTGGGAGGCCAAGGTGAGAAGACTGCTTGGGCCAAGACCAACCTGGCCAACATAGCAAGACCCCATCTCTGTTTTTTTTTTTAAGAGAATACCGTGGCTGGTGTGTTGACAACCAACTTTAGGGATCCCAGGGAGAATCAGGAAAATAAACTGAGAAGCCATTGCAATAATGCAGGCAAGAGAAGAAGGTGGAGGCAGTGGAGGTGATGAAATGTGGGCAGAGCCTGGATATATTTTAAAGGTGAAGACAAGATTCCCTCACACGGGATAGGGACTGTTGGAGAAACATGAGTCAAGAATGCCCCCGAGGCTTGGGGCCTGAGCAATGGGAAGGATGAAGTCTTCATCACCTGAGATGGAGAAGACACTGGTGGAATAGATTTGGGTGTTGGGAGGTAGAGAGAAAGAAAATCAGGAATTACTTTGGGGAAGTCTACTAGGTATTGTGGAGAGGAGTCAGGTGGCCATTAGAAATACAAAAATGGGCCAGGTGTGGTGGCCTGTAATCCCAGCACTTTGGGAGACTGAAGTAGGATGATCGCTTGAGCCCAGGAGTTCAAGACCAGTCTGGGCAACAAAGTAAGATCCCGTATCTACAAAAAAATCAAAAAATTAGCTGGGCATGGTAGTGTGTTCCTGTGTTCCCAGCTACTCAGGAGGCTGAGGTGGGAGGATCGCTTAAGCCCAGGAGATCAAGGCTGCAGTAAGCTGAGATCACGCCACTGCACTCCAGCCTGGGTGACAGAACAAGACCTTGTCTCAAAAATTAAAAAAAAAAAACATCCAAAAGTGGGCTTTGGCTGGGGGTGGTGAACTAGGGTGCGTATTTGGGAGTGCTGTGTGTGTAGATGTTATTTAATGCCATGAGGCCAAATGAGGTCCCGAAGGGTCTGAGTGCGGACAGAGAAGAAAAGGGACCAAGGCCCGAGGAACACCAGCGTGACGAAGACTGCCAGGAGGGAAAGACCCAGCAAAGGGGACTGAGAGGAGAGCCCAGTGAGTGCACAGCCCAGAGTGTGGGGTTCTGGAAAGTGACCAAGCAAAAAGGTGGCCCCGCAAAGTCTTTCCCAAAAACAGTGGGGGTGGGTGGGCAGTGCGAGGACAGCACAGGTGGGCCCCAAGTGTCTGATTGACAACAAAGGAGGGGGGCAGGCACTAAACTCCGACTCTCCCAACAGGACCCCACTCTAGTCTTTGGTTGTCACTGTCACACCAGAACTCAAGGACTCTCTGTCTAGCTGGGAGGAAATCAGAGGTAGGAGACACTGGGCAGAAGTCATCAATCTCATGGTCTCCAAGACTAGGGCAGTTTCTCCTACAACCCCTCCTGCCCACTGGTGTGCCCACATCGCCAGGAAAATGGCTCCAGCCGTAGCAGTGGGCATCGGTCATGTAGCAATTCCCTTATCAGTGCTGCCTCATAAGCGTCAGGTATAGTGGATGAAACACTGGGCTTAAAGACCTGGTTCCAGCCCGTGTTCCCCCTTCCCCAGCTCTACAACTCCACACCCTTCACATCTGAGCTCAGTCAGTACCTCCTCCAGGGAAACCTTCCCTAACTTCTCAGTATGGCTTAGTGAAGACTCTTAGATCAGTGCTTCTCAGTGGAGGGTGGGCTGGGCACCTTGACTCACACCTGTAATCCTAGCACTTTGGGAGGCCATTGTAGGAGGATTGCTTGAGGCCAGGAGTTCAAGACCAACCTGATGAGGGTGATTTCACTTCCCTCCCCAGCAGGACATTTGGCAATGTCTGGAAGTGTTTTGGGCTGTCATAGCTTGGAGGAGAGGTGTAGGGGTGCATCCAGGGGCTAGAGGCCAAGGACGCTGCAAAACTTCCTGCCCTCACAGTAATTTTTTAGGCCAGAATGTTGATCATTCTGTGGTTGAGAGCACCTGTTCTAGATAAAGCAGGGGCAGATAACCTCTTTCCAGCTCCGTGCCATTTCCTCTGTCCTGTTTTCTACTGATACAGAACTGAGAATGCAGGCTACTCCATTTCCCAGCCTCCCTTGTAGCTATCCATGCCCATGTGACCTAGCTGAGCCAATTAGATGTAACAGGATGTCTGATGGGAGCTTCTGGGAAAGCTTTTCCTTCTTGATAAAAGGAACAGGTACAGGAGAGCCTGCCCTTCCACTCTGGTTTTCAATAAGCGGATATAATGCTCGGTATTGTGGCATCACCAAAAGCATTGAGGATGGCTGAGCAGAAAGATGGGATGAGGCAGTCTCGCTAGGCAACACTGTCCCAATCCCCTCCCTGTCAAGTGAACCAATAAGCATCCTATGTCACCAAGCAAGGTGGCTCATGCCTGTAATCTCAGCATTTTGGGAGGCTGAAGCAGGAGGATTGCTTGAGCCCAGGAGTTTGAGACCAGCCTGGGCAACATGACAAAACTCCATCTCTACACGAAGTACAAAAATTGGCTGGGCATGGTGGTGAGCACCTGTAGTCCCAGCTACTCAGGAGGCTGAAATGGGAGGATTGCTTGAGCCCAGGAGATCAAAGCTGCAATGAGCCGAGATCACGCCACTGCACTCCAGCCTGGGCCAGAGTGAAACTCTGTCTCAAAAAAACAAACAAACAAACAAACCCACAATCACATCCTATGTCTAGGATGAGTTGATTTCTCTGTTACTTGTAGCCAAAAGCCCCCTAGGACATTCGGGCCCCTCCATGTGTCCCTGCACACTAGCATCCCTCTGTGATTGTTGTCTGCTGGCATGTTTTCCTCCCCTACTGGCCTGGCAGCCCCTTGAGTCCAGGGCTGTGCTTCCCCTGGTGGATCTGCCTACTTAGCGTGGGACAGAGGAGAGGCTCAGAGAGGATTCTAATGAATACATTTAAAGGACAGTGAGACCGCTCTCAGCAGCCCAGCTGTGGGGTTTCCTGAACGCCTCTCTGGCAGACACACCGCCCCAGTAGGCTGGCAGTGCCTGGTGTAAATATGTCTGGGGTGAACACCCTCAGATGCTTGAGACAACAGAAGTGTTGGCCTGGAGGCTGAGGTTCCAGCAAAACTGTGAAAGCAGATGATCCAGCTGCACCGTGAAAGCCAAGGACTGAATTGCTCCATGGAGCAAGATTGGAAGCACGCTACAAATGTAGTTATTTCTTCCAGGAAAGGCCTCCCTATTGAAGCCCTCCCTGCTACCCAGCCCATGCAGGGCCAGACTCCTCCAGCTGCCCATGACCCCTGCCTTACGGGGCTGGGGAAGTAAGAAGCCACCCAGGAACCAGCTGGCCCAGTGAGGTCTTCCATGGAGGAGGGACCTTCCCAAAGCCTCAGGAGTGGGGACTCTTGATAGGGGGACGGAGAAGGGGAGACAGGGTGTCCTTCCCCCTTTCCCTAAGCTCCTTCCATGAAGTCAAGGCCAGTGCTATCTGCTTTCCAGCCTAGACTGGGTGCAGGGCTCTATCTGGGTCTGTTCCCAGGACCTTCACCAGCCTTCCAGAAGTTTGTCAAGAGAGACCTCGGGTGACAGTGAGGTAGTGTGCGCAGTGGTTTAGCGCACAGGCTCAGGATCAAGCTGACCTGTGTTGGGATCCTGACCCAATGGTCTCCTTTCTTCCCGTATTACCTATGGAGGTCCTATTATGTGCCAGGCACTGTGCGTAGCACCAGAGTCACGATGTTGAACATCGCATTGGCCAGACATAAATGCACATGGCAGCTCTGCTCAGTGACACAGAGCTTAGAGCCTTAATCAGGGAGGTGCACATTACACAAGTAGCCCCCATACATTCCCACTGTGACGACCCCCACATGTGGGCGACATAGTGGCTCTGTGGGCTGGAAGCAGTGGCTCGATTATCTGAATCTCGTTATTATAATAAGAGGACCCCTCTCCTTGGCTTTTGTGAGGATAGGTGCAGGAGGTGCCCCGAGACCACTTTGCCCCTCACCAGGCCCTGACTAAGTGCTCCCTGGTAGGAGGGGTGGTGGGTCTTATGGTCCCTGAAGCTGGTGGCAGACCTGGAAGCCTGGACCATTGGCTGCATCCTGCGGGGCCTGCCAGGGCAGAGTGGTCATTCCACCTTCCCCAGGGCCTGGCCTTTCTCTGCTATTGGAGAGATCATTTCCAGACCCTGTGGATGGCCTGCCTGCTTCTGCTTCCCCTGACTTCAGCCCAGCTGGGGCTGCCAGAGTCAAGCAAATCCTGGATCCCAATCCAAAGCCCTGGCCTCTCCCTCGTTCAGGGAACTGAACAGCCCAAGGGTGGCCATCCTGCCTGGTTGCTGGTGGAGCCAGCTGCTATGCATCGGCTGCAAAGAACAAAGTGCCCCAGCTGTGGCTGCAGGGAGGCCTGGCCTGGAACTGGCAAAGTGCCCCCAAAATCCGCTGGCTCCCTCCCCTCAGGAACGCTGGCGCTAATGGGTAACAGAAGGCCAAGGCAGGGACTTCTCCCTGGCCCACCAGGAACACTGAGACTAACAGATCCTGGGCAACGCAGGGGAAGCCCTGGACTCAGCCACCACCATCAGCCCTCCCTTGGCCAACTGGGATGGGTGGGACTGCATGGGATCGGGAGGCCCCAGTCCTCCCCGTTGCCTCAGTTTCCCCGGGAAGAAGGTCGAGATGGAGCATTAGACACTTCCACTGAGGAGACTGTGAGAAGCGAAGGAGAGGGTAGGGTGGAGGTCCGCTCAGACTTGCCTTCCAGCCAAGGTCTCCACCGCATCTATGGTCCAGGAGAGAGACGGCGAGGCCGAGGAGGGCCTAGGGCTTTCCGGGGGCAGGGCCAGTTTTGTGGGTGTTCAACCTGTGTGGTCACACGAGGCTCCGCACATGGAAGGATCGGCCACTTGGCTTCATGCTCTGTTGTCTCCGTCTTGAAATTCTTAACAATTTTTTAACAAATGGCCCACACATTATCTAGCAGACCCCATCTAGGGTGAGGACATTTATACACAAAGGGCCTTCCTGTCTGGGAAACAGAATCGGAGGGTGTTGGAACAGACAACCCATCCTTCTGCCCCGCCCCAACCCCCACCTCTCCACAGCTGGAAGGAGAAAGATGAAGAACCCAGCAGGGCCTCCTTTCGAGGTTGGCCAGGTGGCACGTGGGTTTCCGGAAGAGAGGAGAGAGAGGAAACAGCCCTGACCTCCACAGGCTGCAGGTGGGGTCAGGAAGAAAGAAGGGCAGGGGCCAGGGGAAGATAGGCCCCTCCCTGCCAAGGCCCTCCATGGGTGGTGGGCAAGCAGGTGAGCCACTTCAGCTAGAACTCGCTGTTGGAGGAGGCTGCAGGTCTGAGGTGGGCACAAGGGGAGTGTGAGGCGGAGGGTGGCGGTGGTGAGGCCTGGAGCCAGGATAAAGCTCTTCAGGGCCTCCGCCAGCAGGGCCAGCCCAGGCCCGCTCTGACCTCTGGTCTTATTACAGAAAAGGGGTCCCGATGCAGACCCCAAGAGAGAGTTCTTGGATCTCGCGCAAGAAAGAATTCAGGGGGACTCCGCAGTGCAAAGCAAAAGCAAGTTGATTAAGAAAGTAAAGGAATAAAGAATGGCCACCCCATAGACAGAGCAGCCCTGAGGGCTGCTGATTGCCCATTTTTATGGTTATTTCTTGATAATATGCTAAACAGAAGGTGGATTATTCATGCCTCCCCTTTTTAGACCATATAGGGTAACTTTCTGACGTTGCCATGGCATTTGTACACTGTCATGGAGCTGGTGGGAGTGTAGCAGTGAGGACGACCAGAAGTCACTCTTGTCGCCATTTTAGTTTTGGTGGGTTTTGGCCGGCGTCTTTACTGCAAACTGTTTTATCAGCAAGGTCTTTATGACCTGTATCTTGTGCTGACCTCCTATCTCATCCTGTGACTTAGAATTCCTA